>NC_000011.10:33241818-33393333 GCF_000001405.40 Homo sapiens
CTTTCATTTGACTCCTGTGATCATTTGACACTCAGGGTTTTTATTTTGTTTGTTTGTTTGTCTGAGAACTTTCTGGAATCTAATTGAATTTTTACAAGGCTATTGTAAGTAGGTATTAGAATCTCCTTAGTTACAGATAAAGAGACTGAAGTTTAGAGAGATTAAGTAGCTTGCCTAAGTCACATAGGAAGTAAATGACAGGATTTGCGTTTTGCTCTATCTGAAAGCTTCTCATAATCTTAAATGTCTTATTCTGATATTTGATAGTATAATAAATAACACATCCTTTTAAGAAAAATAATTCTGCCATGATAGTCTGTTAGATATATGCATTTCTATCTTTATTTTGGACTTAGAGGGGAAAAATGTATCTGCCTGGAACCAAACACATAATTTTTGGAATTGCATAACGCTGTGAGTGAGTGTGTGAGTGTGTGACTGAGTGTCCACTCAAACTGCCAGAGTTCCAGTTATCTCTGGCTCAGGGATCGTCCACCTTCCTGTGGGAGTTCATTTGCTCCTCTCTGCATAGGTTACTGCAGGCACTTGTAGTAGAATATGTCAGGCTATGCTTTTGTTGCCAATGTCTTAAGGGATGACACTCCTTTCATTCATCCCATGAGGTTTTATGAGAGTCTGCTGCTCTGGTGGAGCTTACACTGTTATAGGAAGAGACAAAATAAACAAGCATGAAGTTAGTACAGCCACTATGGAGAACAGTATGGAGGTTCTCAAAAAAATAAAAATAGAACTACTGTATGATCTGACAATCCCACTGCTAGGTATATCCCCAAAAGAAAGAAAATCAATATATTGAAGAGATACCTGTACTCCCATGGTTTATTGTAGCACTATTTGCGATAGTCAAGATTTAAAATTAACCTAAGCATCCATTAATAGATGCATGGATAAAGGAAATGTGATACATATATACAATGGAGTACTATATAGCCATAAAAAAGAATGAGATCCTGTCATTTGAAACAACATGGATAGAACTGGAGGATATTGTGTTAAGTGAAATATGCTAGGTACAGAAAGACAAACTTCACACGTTCTCACTTATTTGTGGGAGCTAAAAATTGAAACAACTGAACTCATGGAAATAGTAGAATGATGGTTATCACAGGCTAGGAAGGGGAGTGGGGGCAGGGAGCAGGGGAATATTAATGGGCATGAAAACATAGTTAGATCTCTCCCTCCCCCTCCCCCTCTCCCTCCCCCTCTCCCTCTCCCTCTCCCTCTCCCTCTCCCTCTCCCCTTTCCACGGTCTCCCTCTCCCTCGTCTCGCCTTTCCACGGTCTCCCTCTGATGCCGAGCCGAGGCTGGACTGTACTGCCGCCATCTCGGCTCACTGCAACCTCCCTGCCTGATTCTCCTGCCTCAGCCTGCCGAGTGCCTGGGATTGCAGGCGCGCGCCGCCACGCCTGACTGCTTTTTGTATTTTTTGGTGGAGACGGGGTTTTACTGTGTTGGCCGGGCTGGTCTCCAGCTCCTGAGCACGAGTGATCTGCCCGCCTCGGCCTCCCGAGGTGCCGGGATTGCAGACGGAGTCTCGCTCACTCAGTGCTCAATCTTGCCCAGGCTGGAGTGCAGTGGCGTGATCTCGGCTGGCTACAACCTCCACCTCCCAGCCGCCTGCCTTGGCCTCCCAAAGTGCTGAGATTGCAGCCTCTGCCCGGCTGCCACCCCGTCTAGGAAGTGAGGAGCGTCTCTGCCTGGCCGTCCATCGTCTGGGATGTGAGGAGCCCCTCTGCCCGGCCGCCCAGTCTGGGAAGTGAGGAGTGCCTCTTCCTGGCCGCCATCCCATCTAGGAAGTGAGGAGCGTCTCTGCCCGGCCGCCCATCGTCTGAGATGTGGGGAGCGCCTCTGCCCCGCCGCCCCGTCTGGGATGTGAGGGGCGCCTCTGTCCGGCCGCGACCCCGTCTGGGAACTGAGGAGCGTCTCTGCCCGACCGCCACCCCGTCTGGGAGGTCAGGAGCGTCTCTGCCCGGCCGCCCCGTCTGGGAAGTGAGGAGCCCCTCCGCCCGGCAGCCGCCCCGTCTGGGAAGTGAGGAGCGTCTCCGCCCAGCAGCCGCCCCTTCCAGGAGGTGGGGGGCAGCCCCCACCTGGCCAGCCGCCCCGTCTGGGAGGGAGGTCGGGGGCAGTCCCCACCCGGCCAGCCGCCCTGTCTGGGAGGTGGGGGGCGCCTCTGCCCGGCTGCCCCATCTGGGAAGTGAGGAGCCCCTCTGCCCGGCTGCCACCCCGTCTGGGAGGAGTACCCAACAGCTCATTGAGAACGGGCCATGATGACGATGGCGGTTTTGTCGAACAGAAAAGGGGGAAATGTGGGGAAAAGAAAGAGAGATCAGATTGTTACTGTGTCTGTGCAGAAAGAAGTAGACATAGGAGACTCCATTTTGTTCTGTACTAAGAAAAATTCTTCTGCCTTGGGATGCTGTTAATCTATAACCTTACCCCCAACCCCCTGCTCTCTGAAACATGTGCTGTGTCCACTCAGGGTTAAATGGATTAAGGGTGGTGCAAGATGTGCTTTCTTAAACAGATGCTTGAAGGCAGCATGCTCGTTAAGAGTCATCACCACTCCCTAATCTCAAGTACCCAGGGACACAAACACTTCGGAAGGCCGCTGGGTCCTCTGCCTAGGAAAACCAGAGACCCTTGTTCACATGTTTATCTGCTGACCTTCCCTCCACTATTGTCCTATGACCCTGCCAAATCCCCCTCTCCGAGAAACACCCAAGAATGATCAATAAATACTATTAAAAAAATAAATAAATAAATAAAATAAAATAAAACATAGTTAGATTTTTAAAAAAGAAAATATATTAGATAGAATGAATAAGATCTGGTATTTGATAACACAATAGGGTGACTATACTGAACAACAACTTATTGTACATTTAAAAATAAGGAATATAATTGAAATGTTTGTAACATAAATAAATGATAGATGCTTGGGGTATGTGTACTCTATTTACCCCAATGTGACTATCACACATCGCATGCCTGTATTGAAATACCACATATGCTCCGTGAATATATACACCTACTATGTACCCACAAAAATGAAAAATTTAAAATAAAAAAAGAAAACACAAAATAAACAAGTATGTAAGAAAATTAACAAGGTATTTTTGGATGTGATAAGTGCTAACCAAAGGCCAGTGTGCCCAGAATTCAATAACCGAAGTGGGTAGCATGGTAGGGGATGAGGTCAGAGTGATAGGCTTTGTGGCTCACAGTAAAGAACACGGGTGTTATTCCCTTTTCAATGGTTGGCTTTGGCTGGGTTCAGAAAGGGAAGGGATATGGTCTCTCTGGCTACTCACAGACCCTATTGCATACTGCTCTTTTTGGTTCCTCCGCCCAAGCCACACTGGCTTTCTGACTGCTCCTAGAATATGTCAAGTTCTTTTCTGCCTTTGAGTCTTTACATTTTTTAATTTCATCTGCCTGAAAAAACAATGACCACAACAAGAACAAAAACTATTCCATCACATAATGGTATAATTCTTCCTTCATATCATTCAGGTCTCTACTTAAAGCTATCTCCTTGTACATCCTATCTAAAAATGCTTCACTCTGCTCTCACCACCACGTCTCTACTTCAATCCCTAGGAACTCTGTATATCTCCATCTGGCTTTGTATTTCTTTCTTTCTTTTTTTTTTTTTTTTTGAGAGTGAGTCTCACTCTGTTGCCCAGGCTGGAGTGCAGTGGCATGATCTTGGCTCACGGCAGCCTCCACCTCCCAGGTTCAAGTGATTCTCCTGCCTCAGCCTCCCAAGTAGCCGGGATTATAGGTGCACACCACCACCGCCGGCTAATTTTTGTATTTTAGTAGAGACGGGGTTTCACCATGTTGGCCAGGCCGGCCTCAAACTTCTGACCTCAAGTGATCCGCCTGTCTTGGCCTCCCAAAGCACTGGGATTACAGGTGTGAGCCACTGTGCCTGGACTGGCTTTGTATTTCTTAGAGTATGTATTGCTACCTGGCTTTATTTATTTATTTACTTGTTTATATTCTGTCAGCCCCATTAGAATGTAAGTGCCATATTAGGGCATGGATTTTGTTTGTACTGTTCATCATTACGTCCTCAGTGCCTGGAACATTGTCTAGTACATACAGGGTGATTTTATTAGTTATCGCTTACTGTGGAACACATTACCCCCAAAACTGAGTAGCTTAAAACAGCAACCATCTATCTCCTAGTTTCTGTGGATGAGGACATCAGGAGAGGCTAAGCTGGGTTTGTGTGGCTCAGGGTCTTTAAGGAGGTTGCACTCAATGTTGGCCAGGGTTGCATTCATCTGAAGGCTTGACTGAGGCTGCAGGATCTGCTTCCAAGCTCTTTCATATGGCTATTGACCAAAGGTTTCAGTTCCTTGCTAAATGAGTTTCTCCATAAGGCTTGCAACATAGCAGTTGGAGAAGTATCAAGGTGAAAGGCATAATACCTTTTGATGACCTAGTGTCTGAAGTTGCACATCATCATTTCCATTTTATCATTTTATTTTGTTTGTTAAGAGCAAGTAACCAAGTCCAGCCCACAAAAGGAAGGGAATTAGGGTCCACTCCTTTTTTTTTTTTTTTTTTGAGACGGAGTCTCACTCTGTCACCCAGGCTGGAGTGTAGTGGCATGATCTTGGCTCACTGCAACCTCTGCCTCCTGGGTTCAAACAACTCTCCTGCCTCAGGCTCCCAAGCAGCTGTGATTACAGGTATCTGCCACCATGCCCAGCTAATTTTTGTATTTTCAGTAGAGACAGGGTTTCGCCATGTTGGCCAGGCTGGCCTTGAACTCCTGACCTCCAGTGATCTGCCCTCCTCAGACTCCCAAAGTGCTGGGATTACAGGTATGAGCTACTGCACCCAGCTGACCATCTCATTTAATTCTCAGCGTCATGCAAGGTAGACATAATTACATCAAATTCAAAGATGAGGAAAAAGACTTTGGAGGCTATGAAATATGTCCCAAGTTGTACAGTTAACTGAGGATTCTCCTTCTCTTGTCAAAAGGCAAGAAAGGAAGGCTGTACCAGCACAGCTGCTGCATGAGGACAGGCATGCTTTACACTGCAGATATCACAGATGTGTGTGTTTATTATGATGTTTTTCTAACAGATGGCAAAAACGTGTTGCCTTAACAAAACTGGTATATTAAGAAAATTTTCTGGGTCAGGTGCAGTGGCTCACACTTACAATCCCAGCATTTTGGGAGGCGGAGGCTGGAGGATCACTTGAGAACAGGAATTCAAGATCAGCTGGGGCAACATAGAGAGACTCTGCCTCTACAGAAAATAAAACAATTGGCTGGATGTGGTAGCACATGCCTACAGTCCCAGCCACTCAGGAGGCTGAGGTGGGAGAATCACTTGACCCTGGGAGTTTGAGGCTTCAGTGAGCTGTGATCACACCACTGCACTCTAGTCTCGGCAATAAGAAAAAACCTGGTAGGTATATATATATATATATTTAAAAAAAAAAGATAATTTTCTGACAGATGGAAGTAGAGTCAATGCCTTTTTCTTATTCCAACAAAGGCTTTGTTTGGGCTATTGGTTATTTTGGATATTATAAAACATAAAATAAAAGTATGTTTTAAATAGCATACTTTTCCTGGCTGGGTGTGGTGGCTCACGCCTGTAATCTTAGCACTTTAGGAGGCTGAGGCGGGCAAATCATGAGGTCAGGAGCTTGAGACCAGCCTGGACAACATGGTGAAACCCGTGTCTACTAAAAATACAAAAAACTAGCTGCGCATATTGGCGAGTGCCTGTAATCCCAGCTACTCAGGAGGCTGAGACAGGAGAATCATTTGCATCTGGGAGGCAGAGGTTGCAGTGAGCCGAGATAGTGCCACTGCACTCCAGCCCAGGTGACAGAGTGTCTAAAAAAAAAAAAAAGCATACTTTTCCTAAGATTAAACTTGAATTTACTTGGGGAATGAGTAATTTGATCAAAGAAAGATGTAATTTCAATGTGAAGGATCTCTGCATACCTGGTGGGAAGAGGTGTGTTCCAATGGGGCGCTTTTGATAATGAGAGCATAATCTGAAGCCGTTAGAAGAGAGAGTCTTTGAACAAAGAAGGGAGAAAACCAAGTGTGTAGACAAAATGTAATATAAGGGGCATCCTAAGGAAAAGCAAGGAAGAAAGAGTACTAGTCCAAGCCTCACAAATTTTCTTAGACCTACTTCTATTGTCTGTTATGATTTTATTGATTGATTGATTGATTTTTGAAACAGAGTCTTGCTCTGTTGCCCAGACTGGAGTGCGGTGTCCCAATCTCGGCTCACTGAAGCCTCTCCCTCCCAGGTTCAAGTGATTCTCCTGCCTCAGCCTCCCAAGTAGCTGGGATTATAGGCACCCGCCACCACACCTGGCTAATTTTCGTATTTTTATTAGAGACAGGGTTTCACCATGTTGGCCAGGCTGGTCTTGAACTCTTGACATCAAGTGTTTCGCTCACTCTGGCCTCCCAAAGTTCTGGGAGTAGAGGCCTGAACCACGGTGCCCGGCCTGTTCTGAAAGTTTTAAAGGCACAGCTATCTTCAACGTTCATCCACTCTGGCGCCCTGGGAACAGTTCCTTACATTATGTCCTCTAGAAGAGCTGGACTAACACATATGCAGGATAGGTTATGATGCGGTACGAGAATTGAACTTCAACCCGGGAGGCGGAAGTTGCAGTGAGCTGAGATAGCGCCACTGCACTCAAATAATTTCTTTTTAAGTGCCTGACATTTCACTATCCCAGAGGAATCTGGTGTTAGCAGGCAGGGTTTTGTTGTAGTTTGTTATAGTTATGTGCATGACTGAACACACTCCACTTTTGTAAGGTCTTTGCATATTTCCTCATACATTTCACTGTGGCACATGAGCCAAGAAACAAGGAATGGGTGATTTACTACCTAAAAATAGGCAATCAACATTTAATATGGAAGGACTGAAGGGAAGAAGGAATATAAAGAGAGGGAAGAAGGAATTTGGAAATAAATAAATAATAAATCAGGGAGTTCCTATTTTGGGACTACAGACAGTCATTATGATTCATAAATGGGATGACTGAGGCAAGAGGACTGGACCTGCATGGTCTTGGGTAAGTAATGAAATCTGTCTGAGTTTTTGTTCTTACTTAACCGAACCTCTGTTCTTTCATCTGTAAAACGAGATGAAACCAGATGAGCTTGAACCACTGTTCTCCATGTACCATTTTAGAGGATCATAAAATTCTACTTTCCTTTCATAGTTTAATATTTGTCATATCCATGATTTGATGCTGAGACCTGTCAGGAACACAAGTCTCAATTTTAACTCCTTGCAAGAGAAATTAAAATCTCCTTTAGGATTATATGTCTTCCAGAAACATTTTAAAGACTTCATTTAGTGGAAATCTGTATTTTTTTGGGATAAAGGTTTAAGGCCAGACAGCTTGGGTACAAATCCAACTCCATCATTTACTATGTAACCTTGGACAAGCTGCTGCTTCTTTTTTTTTTTTTTTTTTTAGACAGGGTCTCTGTACTTCAATACTTCAATTTCCTCACTTGTAAAATGAGAATAGTAATAGTTACCATTTATTTATTTATTTGAGACAAAGTCTCACTTGATCACCCAGGCTGGAGTGCAATGGCGCAAATTTGGCTCACTGCAACATCCGCCTCCTAGGCTCAAGCCATCCTCCCTCTTCAGCCTCCCCAGTAGCTGGGACTACAGGCACGTGCCACCTTGCCCAGCTTATATATATATATATACTTTTTTTTTTCCTGAGGCAGGTTCTCACTCTGTTGTCCAAACTGGAGTACAGTCTGCAATCTCTACTCACTGCTAACTCCACCTCCCAGGTTCAAGCGATTCTCCTGCCTTAGCCTCCCAAGTAGCTAGGATTACAGGTGCATGACACCACACCCAGATAATTTTTGTATTTTTAGTAGAGTTGGGGTTTCACCATGTTGGCCAGGCTGGTCTGGAACTCCTGACCTCAAGTGATCTGCCCAGCCTCCCAAAGTGCTGGGATTACAGGCATCAGCCACCACGCCCAGCCTAATTTTTGTATTTTTTGCATAGATGGGGGTTTCACCATGTTCCCTAGGCTGGTCTAAAACTCCTGGAATCAAGAGATCCTCCTGCCTCAGCCTCCCATGGTGATGGGATTACAGGTGTGAGCCACCATGTCCAGCCTGGACAAGGTTCTTAATCTCTCTGTATTAATGTTAATCTCTCCGTATTATTTATTTATTTATTTATTTAGAGACAGAGTCTCACTCTGTCACCCAGGCTGGAGTGCAGTGGCACCAATTTAGCCCACTGCAACCTCTGCCTCCTGGGTTCAAGCGATTCTCCTGCCTCAGCCTCCCAAGTAGCTGGAATTACCACACTTGGCTAATTTTTGTATTTTTAGCAGAGAGAGGGTATCGCCATGTTGGCCAGGCTGGTCTCAAACTCCTTGCCTCAAGGGATCCTCCTGCCTCAGCCTCCCAAAATGCTGGGATTACAGGTGAGCCACAGTGGCTCAATTACTATTGAGTCACAATAGTTATCCTTGAGTTATTTAATAAAATAATTCAGAAAAGTTCCTGGTATATAGCAGGAACTAAACAATATTTGTGAGGTGAATGAATATCACTTAAGAATTGGATGTTCAGGCTGGGCGTGGTGGCTCATGCCTGTAATTCCAGCACTTTGGGAGGCTGAGGTGGGTAAATCACCTGAGGTCAGGAGTTCAAGACCAGCCTGGCCAACATGGTGAAACCCCGTCTCTACTAAAAAATACAAAAATTAGCTGGGCATGGTGGCTCCTGCTGGTAATCCCAGCTACTCAGGAAGCAGCGGCAGGAGAATCACTTGGATCCAGGAGGCAGAGGTTGTAGTGAGCCGAGATGGTGCCATTGCACTCCAGCCTGGGTGACAAGAGTGAAACGCTGTCACACACACACACACAAGAATTGGATGTTCAATCAAAGCTTTTTGGAAGGGTGAACATTTAACTTTGACTTTGAAGAATGGCTACTGGGCATGGAGAAATAAGGGTTAGAGTTGGGGAAAGGGAAAAGAACTCTTTGGTGGGATCATACGGAAGTACAGGAAAAATGGCTAAAAGGTTTTATGGGATCCAACTGTAATGTGCCTCAACAGCCAAACTAAAACACAGGGACATTTTCAGTAGGTAAAACAATAGTCCTAAGGTTTGTGAGCAGGGAAATGTTGAGATGAAAAAAAGATTGAAGGCTTACTTGCCTTGTTTTGCATTACCTTAGTTTAAACATTTTTTAAAATATAAAACTGATGTTAGTTCATTATATTGCATTTTAAGTTCCTTTAACTTCTGAGAACTAAATACAGCAGCTCTGGAGAGAAAGAACAATGTAAATGGTGTGAGTGCTGGCAGGACTTTCCATTCAAGTTGCTGAAGCACGTGGGCAATGATTCAATCAAATCTGAAAGGTGCATTTTGGCAAAAACCTATGGAGATAATGTGCCAAGTACTTTAATGATTCCCCAACCACAGAGAGATTATTTGGGTGTCAGATGGGGTGACATGCTAGTGTATTCATTATCCTGGAGGAAGAAATTGAATGATTAATTGAGGGCTCTAGCAAAACTTTGACAAAGAGGGTGATTACTAGACTGTATATAAAGAAGATGATCAGCCTGGGCAACATGGTGAAACCCTATCTCTACAAAATGTACAAAAATTTGCCAGGTGTGGTGGCACATGCCTCTATTCCCAGCTGCTCGGGAGGCTGAGGCAGAAGAGTCACTTGAGCCTGGAAAGTCGAGGCTGCAGCCAGCTGTGATTGTGCCACTGCCCTCTAGCCTGGGCGATGGAGCAAGACCCTGACAAAAAAAAAAAAAAAAAAAAAAAAAAAAAAAAAAAAAAAAAAAAAAAAACAGAAAGAACAGAAAGAAACTGAAAAAGCTAACCAGTTATTATAATCTTCATAAAATTTCTGAAGTGCTCCAAGAGGTGAAACGTGAAAATTTAATTTATGACTAACTATAAGTAACATATCATTAATATAGACATATAAGTAACATATCATTAATATAGACATGTTCAGGTTGTATATACAAAACAATGTATATTATGCTTTATGGGTAATTGAGGTAATTTTCAAGGATTAATTTTACTATGTGAGATTTTTGCCTTGCGCTGACTGTAGTACCTAACTCCCAGATAAAGATGAGATTGTGAACTTCTAAAAATATGAGTGTTTTATCTGTAAAATTTAGTGGAAACAGTTTCTTTCTTCTTTTTTTTTCAGAAGGAGAAACAAATCTTTGGGCTGCAAAGAGTTACTTGACTGGGCTTTTTGGTTATGCAGAGTGGTAGGAGTGGCACACTCCTGAATGGATTTTTTTTTTTTTTTTCCATTCCAGTTGCCCCTTCCTGAGGCTCGGGTATACAAAGCTGATCTCCAGGAAGAAGACAGATTATTTATATAAGAAAGCCAGGACTGCCGGGCGTGGTGGCTCACACCTGTAATCCCAGCACTTTGGGAGGCTGGGGTGGGCGGATCACCTGAGGTCAGGAGTTGGAGACCAGTCTGATCAACACGGTGAAACCCTGTCTCTCCTAAAAACGCATAAATTAGCCGGGCGTGTTGGTGCACGCCTGTAATCCCAGCTACTCGGGAGGCTGAGGCAGGAGAACCGCTTGAACCCGGGAGGCAGAGGTTTCGCTTGAACCCGGGAGGCAGAGGTTTCGGTGAGCTGAGATCGAGCTATTGCACTCCAGCCTGGGCAACAAGAGCGAAACTCCACCTCAAAAAAAAAAAAAAAAAAAGCCAGGACCTCCTGGGAGGGAGGAGACAGAAGTCCCCTTGGTGAACCTCTCCTCCTTGATATTAGTAACTAGGGGGCTATTTTTGGTTGACAGGGTACCTCCTATTCTCCCAAGGTGTAATGGTAAGAAAGGATACCCAAGGACTAGAGAAAAAAACAAAAACAAAACAACAACCAACTTCCCTGAGGAAGGGGAGTGTGGATTGGTGACTCAGGCTCTGAAAAAGTTCCCAGCTTTTTCTTGAAACTGCATGGCTTTGGACAGAAGCGTCGGCATCATTTGTGGAGACTGCGGAGGGCCATCTCTTCACAGGAACACCTATATGTGGTTTAACGAGGAGCAATGGCAGCGAAGAACACAAGGTGAGTGCGAGGAGGACTGGCCTCCTTTGGGAAGAGTAATGTTATTTTTATTTATTTATTTTTTTAGGCAGAGTCTCATTCTGTCACCCAGGCTGGAGTGCAGTGGTGTGATCTCGGCTCACTGCAACCTCTGCCTCCCAGATTCAAGCTATTCTCATGCCTCGGCCTCCCGAGTAGCTGGGATTACAGGTGTGTGCCACCACATCCAGCTAATTTTTGTATTTTTAGTAGAGACGGGGTTTCACCATGTTGGCTAGGTTGATCTCGAACTCCTGACCTCAGGTGGTCCACTCGCTTTGGCCTTACAAAGTGCTGCGATTACAGGCATGAGCCACCACGCCTGGCCTGGGCAGAGTAATTTTTGGAGGTAGAGGTGGGAGGAATAGCTGAGAGAGAGGGCTTGGATTTCATGGCTAGGTGATCTCAAACAATTGTGACTGCTCGCAGTCTGAGTTTATGGAGGGTTTCTTACTGATTCCATAGAAAATTTATTTTTTCACTTTACAAATATTTGAGTTCCCTTTACATGCAAGGCCCTGTTCTAGGCTCTGGGGATCAAAGCATCAAGAAAACAGACAAAAATTCTTGCCCTGTGAAAGCTTACCTTGAGGGACAAGGGAACAGAAAATATATATCATAGTATCTAAGATGATGGCAAGCCCTAAAGAGAAAGATAAAGACAGGGAATGTAAATATAGGTGGTCATCGCTGAAGAGGAGGCTTCACCATGAAGGCAATATTTGAGTAAGGACAGGAAAGAAAGGTGGATGGCTATACTTGAGGAATGTTTCAGGCAGAAGGTGATCCAGGCACCTACGGAGCTCCAGAGAGTGGCTGGAGTAAGGAGACAAAAAGTTGATTGAGTTCCTTGTGGGCTAGTTCTGTGAAGGATTTTATTTGTTTATTTACTTACTTACTTACTCAGAGACAGGGTCTTACTCTGTCGCCCAGGCTGGAGTGCAGTGGTGTGATCACAACTCACTGCAGCCTCAGGGCCCATCTCAGCCTCCCGAGTAGCTGGGACTACAGGCGTGCACCACCAGGCCAGGCTAGTTTTTGTATTTTTTGTAGAGAGAGAGGGGTTTTTGAAGAGGCTAGGTCTTGCTCAGTGATAGAATTACAGGTGTGAGCCACCA
Organism: Homo sapiens; assembly: GCF_000001405.40. Taxonomy (NCBI): domain Eukaryota; kingdom Metazoa; phylum Chordata; class Mammalia; order Primates; family Hominidae; genus Homo; species Homo sapiens. The sequence continues at coordinate 33,254,108 of NC_000011.10, forward strand.
AGTCTGGCCCTTAAGTAATTTTTTTGAATGAAAACATTAAGGTTTTCTTTAGTATCTTCCTGTTTTATTTTTTAGAGGCAAGATCTTGCTCTGTCACTTAGCCTGGAGTGCAGTGGCGAAATCACAGCTCACTGCAGCCTGGAACTCATGGGCTCAAGCAATCCCCCAACCTCAGCTTCCCAAAGTGCTGGGATTACAGATGTGAGCTACCATGCCCTCCCCCAGCCTGCATTTTTGAGAGATCTTAGCACTATGAGAAATTTTCCTTAAAAAAAAAAAACAACCCTCAAACTTTGTAAAATAGCTACATTAGGGGCTTTGGGAGATTATCTAGATGTTTGTGTTCAGAATAGATTTGAAAGCCAGGCGCAGTGGCTCACACCTGAAATCCCAGCACTTTTGGGAGGCTGAGGTGGGCGGATCACTTGAGGCCAGGAGTTCCAGACCAGTCTGGCCAACATAATGAAACCGCATCTCCATACTAAAAATAAAAAAAAAATAGCTGGCTGTGGTGGTGCGTGTCTGTAATCCCAGTTAGGTGGGAGGCTGAGGTGGATGGATCCCTTGAGCCCAGGGAGTTGAGGCTGTGGTGAATGGAGATCACACCACTGTGCTCCAGCCTGGGTGACAAAATTAGACTCTGTCAGGTCAGGAGATCAAGACCATCCTGGCTAACATGGTGAAACCCCATCTCTACTACAAATACAAAAAATTAGCTGGGCGTGGTGGCACGGGCCTGTAGTCCCAGCTACTTGGGAGGCTGAGGCAGGAGAATCGCCTGAACCTGGGAGGCGGAAGTTGCAGTCCCAGCTACTTGGGAGGCTGAGGCAGGAGAATCGCCTGAACCTGGGAGGCAGAGGAGCTGATATCGTGCCTCAAAAAAAGAAAGATTTGAAGGGGAAGAGATTAGAGGTAAAGAAATTAGGTTAGGAGACAATAGGTATAAAGTGAAGGGGGGCTGGAATATATCATTTACTTATTTTGCAACATTTACTAAGGTCTTACCACAAGTCAGGCACTGTATTAGGCACTTGCAATATAATGGTTAAAAAAAAAGATGAGGCCGGGCGTGGTGGCTCATGCCTGTAATCCCAACACTTTGGGAGGCTGAGGTGGACAGAGCACGAGGTCAAGGGATCGAGACCATCCTGGCCAACATGGTAAAACCCCGTCTCTGCTAAAAGTACAAAAATTAGCTGGGTATGGTGGGGCATGCCTGTAGTCTCAGCTATTCGGGAGGCTGAAGCAGGAGAATTGCTTGAACCCTGGCAATAGAGCGAGACTTCATCTAAAAAAAAAAAAAGATGAATGAATCCCCTCCTGGAATATATAGTGTAGTGAGTAGCAACATGCAGGAGATAGAAAGGAAAATAAATCCTTGTCTCTCATTTCCATCTCTTCATGGATGTAGCAAATACAGGGAATGGAAGCCTTCCATTAGAGATGGCCTCCTTAAATGTCTGCAAAAATTCTGAAATTTGAAGTTCTAGTGGAATAGTTTCTCTGTTCCTCCTGACAGATTTTTCTACTATTGTAGCTTTCTCCGTTGAGTAAATGATTTTATCCTCTTTGATTCTTTTGACTATTGTTCTTAAGAAAAATAAAAAGTAACGAAATACTAAGTGAAAAGGAATGGTTCATAGGCTATCTCTCTGAAAGGCAGCCATTGTTTTGTTCTTCTATATTGGAAGCCTTTTCAGCTGGTTATCCTCTCTAACCTGAAAACAACTGTCATTCGAAAGTGTTATTTCCAGTGGCCTCAGGGCATACTATCCTTTCTCTTTTATTTTATTTTTTGAGACAGAGTCTCTCCCTGTCGCCCAGGTTGGAGTGCAGTGGCTCAAGCGATTCAAGCGATTCTCTTACCTCAGCTCTCGAGTAGCTGGGATTACAGGCGCCCGCCACCACGCCCAGCTAATTTTTGCATTTTTAGTAGAGACCAGGTTTCACTATGTTGGCCAGGCTGGTCTTGAACTCCTGACCACAGGTGATCCACCCGCCTCAGCCTCCCAAAGTGCTGGGATTACATGTGCGAGCCACCGCGCCCGGCCTCCTTTGTCTCTTAAAGGCATTATCCAAAATACTCATCTTCCGGTTTGAAGAGCAGCAGGGATTAAATGTGTATTATGTATGCAGCAATTTGCCACTCCCTTTGCCCTGCCCCAGTTACTGCAATAGAAAATTTCTGGGAATAAATACATCTCTGGTAAATTCAATCTTGCTAGTGAAGATTATGAAGGAAACAAAGAAAGGACACTTCCATTCCAGAAAGGTGTTTGTTTCCCAAAAGGTTAGACATTGATTCAGAACAAAGGGAACCTGAGGAAACGGGTATAAAAGAAAATCAACTCTGAATGTGAGGTATTAGAAAGCCATTTGTTTCCTAGGGAAAAGGAGGAAAGATGGGGTGGGAGACATGGGCTTTACTGTATAACCTTGGTCATGTCACCTAAACTTCTTGGAACTCCTGAGTGTAAGAGTTGGGACCAAGGATCGCAAAGCTTCTTTCATTCCTAAAATTCTATGGTTCCACGATTATGTAAGCTGAAACAGGCCATTCTGTTGATTTCCTAATCTCCAGGAGGAAAGAAACTAGTCTTTGGGAGTTAAACCGACTAATTTAACGGAGAATTACCAATGTGGAGGTGGGCGAACTTCACAATTATGGGGTTTTGGACAGTAGAGATGCTCTTAAAATTTCCAAGAGGACCCTTCCCCCGTCCTTGAACCTGGCTTTACAATTCTCTTCACTCTTTGGGATAGGGGAGCGGGTAGAACCTAGTTTAGATTGAGGTCGTTCATTTGAGCATTTCCCCTTTACTTATTTTGGGACCTTTAACGACCAAATGCCGAGAAACAGATCCTTAATTACGGTTCCGGGATCTCGAAAGGCCTGTAAAATCCTGCTTCCGCATCTTCATCCTTTCTTCGGGTATTGGGATCTTTTTTAAAAATGTGTATTTCTGGCGGAGGGGGCATGGAGTGAGGTTCAGAACAGCAGAGCCGGGCTGACGGATGCTTCTTTCGCGGGAGGCTTGGCTTGCGGGACTCCGGGTTGGGGCCGCACGGGCTGGCAGGCGGGCTCCGGGCAACAAGGGCGCGGCTGCGGACTGGCGGGCGGACCCCGGGGAGGGGCTTCACGGAGGCGCCGCGGCCGGAGCGGAGCGGAGCCGCCCGGGCTGGGCGCGCAGCGCTGCCGGGCGGGCGGTGGCGCTGCGGAGGCGGTGGCCGAGGCCGACGAGCGCGGAGGAGGGGCCCGAGGCTGGGGCGGCTGGTGGCAGCTGCCTCAGTGACGACTGCCGGCATCGCGGCGACCTGAGGAGATCAAGCCGCAGGCCCCGCCGTCGCCACCACTCCCGCCAGTCTTCCTTCTCCGCTCCCGGCCGGGGCGTCAGGAATGGGCCCCAATCGCCGTGGGCCCCGCACCCTGCGTCGCCCGTAGGCCCCAGTAGCCGGAGGCCGACCGGCCTCCCACTACCCCTCGCCCTAGCCAAGCCGTCCCCACCCCAAATCCCCGGGAAGGAAGATGAGGGAGACGGGCCCGGCGCTTAGCAGCCAGAGCAGCAGCAGCAGCAGCAGCGGTCGGGGGAGGGTGTTTCGCCGTTTCCTCTCAGCCGCCAGGACAAGATGGCAGCGGCCGCGGAGAGGGGCTGAGCCCGGGCTGGGTGGTGCCGCCTGCTGAAGCGCCTGGCTCCCGGTCCCCGGCACGGCCCTGCGCCCCACCCCGGACATGCTCAGGGCTGCGGCCGCCCGAAGAGGAGAGAGCGCGGGCCTCTAGGAAGGTAAGGGAGTCGAGCGAGGGGCGCCGCCACCCCGGGGTGGGGGGATCGGCTCCGTCTGCGGGCTCCGCGGCCAGCGGACCCCAAGCCTGACCCGGGCCTGGCCCGACACCTCCGGCGCAGCCCGCACTCATTGCGCGTCCCGTGCCCCATCCGCATCCCCAGCGCTCTCGTGCTCCCAGTTTCCGCCCTAGCCCCTGCAGTGTGGCCCGGTATGAGCCGCTCCCTCGAAGCCGGCGCCACGCCAGGCCCTGGGCCGCCGGACGCGGGGGCCGTAGCCTCCGGGAAGCCGCGCCTGGCCGGGGCCCGGGGGCCTCGGCCCCCCCTCCCCCTGCCAAGGTTGCGCAACGGCTCTTCCCAGCAACCGAAGTTTTGTTTAGTCCCACGGGGAGCCTCTCTTCCCCCTCCGCAGTCCTAGGCCGTAACTACGGAGATCCCTTTCCTTTCATTAAGGGGAACAAACAAACGCGCAGGCACGCAGCTTGAGCACCCCAGCCGATGGCCGCGTCCCGGGCTTTGTGGCCCCGTCCCCAGCGTCGCGGAGCAGCGGGTTTGCAGGGTGTCAACTCTGGGGACGTGCGTGCGTGTGTGTGATTGTTGGGGAGGAGAAATGTGATCCGCGGCTCCGCGTCCCCAGCGGCGGCGGGAGGAAGGCGTGGCGGCCGCGCGGCGGGGCTGTTGCCGGCTTCTCTCGTTACGGTGGCTGCCGCCCGCTTCCCTTCGCCGCACTGGGAGAACTGGCGGAAAGACTTTGGATGAAAATGTCTGTTTCTCTGTCGGGAGGGAGACGGCTGTTGTAAAATGGTATGTGGCTCTCGGGGAATCCTGTTGTTCCCGTCTCATCTCTGCTTGAGGAATTGCGCTGAAGAGTGTGTGCGTAAATTACCTTGGACTTGTTACAGAGTAGTCGTAACACGTTCAGGCCTTGAACCGTGTTTTCACAACCTCTTACTGCCCTGTTAGGGAATTTGTTTTTCCACCTGTCAGTTGGCTGCTTCTAATTATAATAAGGGGCTTCTATTAGCAACAGCAAAAAATTTCAGTTTATCGTCCAGTTTAGAGGGAAAGCGCATGGTTGGCTCTATTGTAAACTTTGTTTTGATGTCTGTCTGGTACAGGGCCGGAAAAGTTAGCTGGCAAACCAGTCTGCGTGTGCTTTTGCGTACTTTCTAGTAGTTTGGAGATCTGCTGACACTTTTTCCCTTTTTGCTATTTTAGGTATTTGCTTTTAGCTGTAGCTTCTGAAGTGGGAGTACTTATATTCATTCAAACCATCTCAGTTAATTTCAAAGTTTTAGTTGCTGGGCTCTTTAAAATTTTTAAAGAGGTTTCCTTTCTGATCAAATTTTTGATGAAAAGTCTTGAGCCGTAACGGTGGTTACTGCTTACCCAACTAAGACATTTTAATCCTATATTATTTAATTTTTCAGAAGCTGGTGAAGTCTCACCATATGTTTGATAAGTCTAGATTCTGCTTATGTTTGCAAGTGCAGTGCTAATTTTATACAATGAGCAATGATAAGGTTTAGATAGGTCATGATTAAACTTAGTATTTTAAGTAAACAAAATATGACTGACCTTTTGTAAAAAAAGTTTTCATAGTTTTATTGATTATCTTATGCTTTCGTGCCACTTATCAGTAATTGCAATTTTACCAGCCAGATACAGTTATTTAGTTTTAAGTCAATGAAATATTTCTTGGTGTATTTATGGCTGCATTCATAAAGTGTAGAGGACTTTTATTTCTGAACTATAATGCTTAACCTGTTTGAGATTTTTCTTTTTTGAAATTTACTTATTTAAAATTTATGTTAAGGCAGAGATGTGTTGAAATATTTGTGATGTTTGGGCATGTCTTTTTTTTTTTGTACTTATGGAAAAATTTGTTCCTTAATCCCCCCCTCTGCCTCCCGCCCCCCGCCCCAAGGGGATCTCTTTTCTAAGAAAAAAGTATTTGTGGAGAACCTTAGATTAAAACTGTTGTAAAAAAGTAAGATGAGTTTGAAATCTAGAACAGAACTGGCCATTAAATGTTTCAACTTTATATTTGGGCATTGCTGACTACAGTAGCTAAACATACATATTAGGCAAGCAGATCATAACATGATAAGTCAGCCTTACTTAGTTTATTGTCAAAATATATTTTCCATTGAACTAGTCATTACCTTGCTTATAAACTGGTCATTGGCTTTTGGGCATGGGATTTTAGAGTCACATTAAAATGGATGGTTTATATGAGATACTTCTTCTTGTAAACATGTTTGAAAAGAAGCTGTAGATCATACTCTTAACTTTTTGGATACCATAAAATAGGGTGTAAATTACAGACGTAGGTTGCTGTTGCAAGTATGGCGTGGGCACATAGGTTTTTATGTTTAATGCAAGATATGGAGAGCCTCCCTGCACCCCCTGCAACTTAAAAAAGCAGCAGCTATCAAATTAATTTTTTGATTGAACTTTTGTTTTTAATATTTGATGCATGAACCTGAAAGCATATGGAAAGGAGGAAAGGGAAAATGTAAATTTCAGAATGCCGCAATATTATTTTTCAGACCTGATTCACATCCATTTCATGGAATGCTTGTTTGCATGTTATTTTTTATTTGAATGCTAGTACGACTTATCCTGGTAACTTTTGAAGTTAACTTTATTTTACCAGGTAAGAGAGTTAACTTATTAAATGTTATTTTCATAGCAACAGTTTACCAAGTATGATGATAAGGTAAATTAGAATTGCACTATTGGTGGTTAATTCAAAGGCATAAAAATGTAGTTCCCATTGGAACCTCACATTTAAGTTTGGAGATGAAAAGATGTCATGGTAATATTTAGATTCAAAGATATTCTAAGGAAATTCTCCATATTTAAATATCCTTCCAGAAGTTGTTATTCCTGACTCTTAACTCTTAGAGGACACAGAATAACTTGATTTATTGTTGCCAAAATAAATATTCGTGTTGTAGCTGTCCTGGTTTTCTGATGTCCAAAGTTGAGACTCCCAATGTAGTATGTTTAACTTGGAAGTTACTTCTGAAGACAAACTACTAAAACTTTGTTAAAATGGATGACTCTATCAGTGTGTTTATTTTTTAAAAGGTATTATTCCCCCCCAACACTTTTCACTGGGATGTAGTATTTCTCTTTTTTAACTTGCTGAAAGCTTTGTCATGGAGAATCTTTTGTGATACCGGTGTAAGTCTAAAGGGATTATATGTATATATATATACATAAAATATATATTATATATAAAATATAAAATATATTATATAAATATATATAATACATTATATAAAATATATATTATATATAAATATATATGTATTTTTTTTTCTTTTTAAACTTTTAGGTTCAGGGGAGCATGTGCAGGTTTGTTATATAGGTAAACTTGTGTCATGTGTGTTTGATGTACGGATTATTTTGTCACTCAGGGACTAAGCCTAGTGCCCAATAGTTATTTTTTCTGCTCTTCTCCCTCCTCTCATCCTCCACCATCTGGTAGGTCCCAGTGTCTGTTGTTCCCCTCTTTGTGTCCATGTGTTCTCATCATTTAGCTTCCACTTATAAGTGAGAATGTGTGGTATTTGGTTTTCTGTTCCTGCATTATTTATTAAGGATGATGGCCTCCAGCCCCATCCATGTTCCTGCAAAGGACATGACATCATTCTTTTTTTATGGCTGCATAGTATTCCATGGTACATATGTAGCATATTTTTAAAAAATCGAGTCTTCCCATTGATGAACATTTAGGTTGATTCCATGTCTTTGCCCTTGTGAATAGTGTTACAGTGAACATATACATGCATGTGTCTTTATGATAAAACAATGTATATTTCTTTGGATATATACCCAGTAATGGGATTGCTGGGTCCAATGGTAGTTCTGTTTTTAGCTCTTTGAGGAGTCACCACACTGCTTTCCACAGTGGCTGAACTAATTTACATTCCCACCAACAGTGTATCAGCCTCCCCTTTTCTCTGCAACCTCATCAGCATCTGTTATTTTTTGACTTTTAATAATAGCCACTCTGACTGGTGTGAGATGGTATCTCATGGTTTTGATTTGCATTTCTGTAATGATCAGTGATAACCTTTTTTTCATGTGCTTGTTGGCCACACGTATGTCTTTTGAAGAGTGTCTGTTCATGTGTAAAGGAATTATTTTAAATGTCCTAACTGGTTCTGGATCCAGCTGCTTAAAAATATATATCTTGCCTAATACTTAAGCACCTTATATTAAGAATATATATTTGGAGAAGTACTGAGTCAGTGGAGGCTTTTAGGATAGTCAGTACTTATGTGGCCTACTTAAGGAAGAATGTCACTTCTTTTGGTTGGCTTGGTATGTAGTTAAGAGTGGTTTGGAGGAAGAACAACTTAATATTAGTGTGCTGCTTCTGTAGCTTTGCCATAGATGTTCTTTGGGACCTTGTCTTAGTCACTTGTAGGACAAAGATAGAATAGATATTTGGAGGATGTATGTTACACATTTATAAGTTTGTCAAATGAAACCTTGAGCTTTTTGGCAGACCAGGCTGTTCTCAGTTGATACTTGGAACATATGTTACTAAACAAAGGCAGCATATTGTCTGGATTCTGAGACACCACTGTTATGCCAGGGACCTAGAGCCTCTGTTCTTACTGTGTGGAAATTAAAACAACTGGATGAATATTGTCAATATGTATTGTATTTTTAGGACAGCATTTGTGGTTTGGAGACAGTTAAGTTATTAAGCAGATTTATTTTGTCTTTTATATTTGGCAGTTAATGCCAAGTTAGTACTTGAGAAGGCTCTTTTCAACAGAAAGTCCTTGAAATGGAGCAAACTGAGGACCATATTTTTGACCTTAAATGTATTTTGTTACTTTAAACTAATTTCTCTAATTTTTATATTTGTTCTTTTCTCTTTTTATATTTATTTTTTCTATTTTTGTATTTATTTTTTTCATTTACAGACAGGGTTTTGCTCCATGGCCTGGGCTGGAGTATAGTGGTATGATCATAGCTCACTGCAGCCTCAACCTCCTGAGCTCAGGAGATCCTTCTGCCTCAGTCTCCAAATAGCTGAGACTACAGGAGGTATCGCCACCATGTCTGCTAACTTTTTCATTTCTTTTTCTGTCTTTCTAACATGGTCTTGCTGACACCTTGAATTTTTTCATTTTTTGTAGAGACGGGGTTGTGCTTTGTTGCTCTGGCTGGTCTTGAACTCCTGGGCCCAAGCGATCCTTCTGCCTTGGCCTCCCAAAGTGCTGGGATCACAGGCATGAGCCACTGTGCCCGGCCCAATTTCTCTAATTTTCTAAAATAATGAGACCTTTCCCATTCTGTAGGAGACTGAGTGGGAGAGTGGGTGGTGAGGCAGGGGAGACTGGACAGTAGAAGGGAGAAGAGCTTGGTTTAATTGGATTTGAGAGACTGAAATCTGCTTTAATTAATTAATTAATTTTTGAGACAGGGCCTCGCTCTGTCACCAGGCTGGAGTGCAGTGGTGCGATCTTGGCTCACTACAACCTCCGCCTCCGGGGTTCAAGTGATTCTCATGTCTCAGCCTCCTGAGTAGCTGGGATTGCAGGTGCCTGCCACCACACCTGGCTAATTTTTGTATTTTTAGTAGAGATGGGATGTTGCCATGTTGTCCAGGGTGGTCTCAAACTCCTGGCCTCAAGTGATCTGCCCACCTTGGCCTCCCAAAGTGCTGGGATTACAGTAAGCCACCGCGCCTGGCTGCTATGATTTTAAATGTCCAAGTTGCTGGAGCCCAGAGTTCACTTAGTGAAAAATTGTAATAGCTTGAGGGAAAGATTAAGTCAGTAGCCTGCTAAGTGATCAGTCTTGTGAAATAATAGCATCTCTGTTTATCATCCTTGACCTCAGTTTTTAAAATCCCTCCCCCAACCCCTTCCTCTTTCTGTCTTTTGTTTCTTCAATCTGAGAGACTTTTCCTTAAGGTGGAGTTTGGGGAAGATAAGCTTTTTCTACAATTAAAACAAAAAAAAGTCTTATGTTCCAGGACTAATCTGAAGCTGCAAGTGTGAAGACTATAGAACATAATATTGCTGTTAAAATGAGTTTGAGTTATAGGATATATCCTTTTAGTTTCTGGAGATCTTAAAAAATAAAACTAAGATACATCATGTATGAATTAAAACTCAGACTTCTGATATCTATGTCTGTCACACAGTCCTTTTCACCTTCTTCTGAGATAAATATCTCTTAAAGACTAGATTTCTAGGTACACTTTTACCTTGCATTTTCTTCGCTGCTAACCTTGTCTTTTTTTTTTTTAAACAAAAAGGTCACACTTAAAGTGGATATTTAGAGAAGCATAATAAAGGAAAATGTAGTATTTGCTCATTTGAGCTGTACTTCTAAGTTGTGAAAGACTTATTCTTTCATATAATTCTTGATCATGTTGAACGCAAAGGATTGCCAAGGCTGGTGAGATAGAATTTCTTTTTATTTTGAGTAATTGTTTATGCTGGAACACCTTTTCCCATCCAAGTACTGATGAGGTCTGACCCTGCTTAGCCTCCAAGATCAGGCAAGTTCCAAGATCAGAAACTTTTCCATTTCTAATCTAGTTGGAAAAAAAACAGTTTAGATTTGATAGGCATTGAAATCAATAGAGTATGAGGCGAGCTCCTCACCCTAAACATTTTGTAGCTTTTATAAATTATATTTGATTTAATATGGATTACCAAGAAAATTGTCTTAAGGATGCTAGAAAATAAAAACTTGGCTGTATTTGGCTAGACAGTTATTTTACTGTGGAAATTTTAGAAAGTATTTGATTTGCTAAAAACAAAAAATGTTTATTTCAAATTCTTTAACTTCCCCCTACTTGGTTGTATATTATTTATAAGCATACAAAATATTTTAGAGTTTTTAAAAACAAAATAGTGAACTTGAAAACATTTGCAGGATATAACTTTGCTTATTAAATATTTCCTACCCTATAAATTGGCATATAAAGGCCTAAAAGTGCCAATTTTAAAATCTGTTTCAACTTTTTAAAAGCATATTTCAATTACATGTTATCTCTTTAATAATACAGAGAGTCTGGTAGGTTTGGTAAACTATACAACTTTAGATATATAATGCTACAGTTTTAAATAGTTAATGAGATAGATTAGAGTGATAACATTGAAAACTGAACCTGACTTTCTAGACATTTCTTCCAAAGAATGACTTAAATTAATACTTCTGAAGGCTCTAGGTATGTAATTTATTACACTTTCTATTGAGTTTAAATAGGGTGTAGTGACATAAAATCACAATGAAAATTACAGGTTATGCTGCTATATAACCTATAGCTATGATGCTGTGCTATATTCTCAAAGCCAAATAAGAATGTTTTGGGCCAACTTCTAATAAGACATTTTCAATGGAGACAGTAAGATGTCTCTGCAGTATATTGGTTGTAGTTTTGTATTTTAAAGTTAGGTAAGAATAATATTGGGTTCAAAAATAGTGGATTTGTAATCATTGTTTAATGTGCTTTAAATATTTTTTGTAGCTGATCACAGACTGTGGCCACAAAAAAGATAGAAATTTTATTATGACGGGTAATGATAAAATATTTGTATGAAAACTATTTATCTTATTGGCCAGGCACGGTGGCTCATGCCTGTAATCCCAGCACTTTGGGAGGCTGTGGTGTGTGGATCGCTTGAGCACAGGAGTTCAAGACCAGACGGGGCAACATGGTGAAACCCCATCTCTACAAAAAATACAAAAACTAGCTGGGCATGGTGGTGTGCACCTGTAGCCCCAGCTACTGGGGAGGCTGAGGTGCGAGATTACTTGAGCCCAGGAGGTCGAGGCTGCAGTGAGCTAAGATCGTACCACTGCAATCCAGCTTGAGTGATGGAGTGAGACCTTGTCTCAAAAAAAAAAAAAAAAAAAAAAAGCAAAATGGGCCGGGCACGGTGGCTCACGCCTGTAATCCCAGTACTTGGGGAGGCCGAGGCGGGTGGGTCATGAGGTCAGGAGGTCGAGACCATCCTGGCTAACATGGTGAAACCCAGACTCTACTAAAAACAAAAAAATTAGCTGGGTGTGGTGGTGGGCACCTGTAGTCCCAGCTACTCGGGAGGCTGAGGCAGGAGAATGGCGTGAACCCGGGAGGTGGAGTTTGCAGTGAGCCTGGGCGACAGAGTGAGACTCCATCTCAAAAAAAAAAAAAAAAAAGAAAACAAACCTATTTTATCTAGTATATATTTGAACGTCCACTAAGTGCAAGGTACTGTGCAGTGAACGAAGAGACTAACACGTGGTCCCAGCTTTGAGCAAGTATATGATAAGTGAAATTAGCTGAATACTGTAAATTTTCTTTTATATTTGTATATGTGCACCTAAGTTAGAAAAACACTGCTTAAGAAAAATGATTAACAATAGCACATTCAAACTTCTAGGCTGTTTACTTTATTAAAATGAAATATTTAAATAAATGATATTAAAATAGTAGCATTCATGTTAAAGTTGTGTGTTATTCACTGCTGTTCTTGCAGTGGGTAAAATCAAAATAAGTCATTGAAAAATATGAACACTTCTGTAATCCCAGCACTCTGGGAGGCTGAAGTGGGTGGATCCCTTGAGGCCAGGAGTCTGAGACCAGCTTGTGCAACATGCAGAAACCTTTTCCTACCGAAAAACAAAGAAAATACAAAAGTTATTCAGGCATGGTGGTGCATGCTTGTGGTCCTAGCTATTGGAGAGGCTGAGGTGGGAGGATTGCCTGAGCCCAGGGAGGTCGATGCTGCAGTAAGTAAACCATGATTGCGCCACTGCACTGTAGCCTTGGAGACAGAGTGAGACCTTATCTCAAAAACAAACAAACAAAAAACCAAAAAACCCTAATTTTTAACTTTATTCATTTTTTTTTAAACTTTGCCAAGTCCTGATGGAAAAAAATATTACCAGTTTTATCTTGTGACAAGTGTTTTCATTAAGGCTAATCAGTTTTATAGTTGAAGTATCTTATAGAGATAAACTGTATGTTAATTTAAATAAAAGAAGGTCATATTTCTCAGATGTGGCTAGTAATACAGTTCTCTTGTTTTCTCGTGGTTTTTTCTTCTGGACCTGTACAGTTTTCACATTGCCTGAGGGAATTCTATTAGGCTTGCCCTTTCTAGCCATATTTCCTTTCTCCTAAATTTAGAATGTAGAGCCCTTTAAACCTCATTCCTATGCCAACCTGTGGAAAGTAAACAAAAGGCGAAAACATTTCCAGCTTTTTGTTTTTTTTTTTTGAGACGGGGTCTTGCTCTGTCCCCCAGGCTAGAGTGCAGTGGCGCGATCTGGGCTCACTGCAACCTCTGCCTCCTGGGTTCAAGCGATTCTCCTGCCTCAGCCTTGAGATTACAGGCAACTGCCACCACGCCCGGCTAATTTTTGTATTTTTAGTAGAGACGGGGTTTCACCATGTTGGTCAGGCTGGTTTGGAACTCCTGACCTCAGGTGATCCGCCCACCTTTGCCTCCCAAAGTGTTGGGATTACAGGCGTGAGCCACTGTGCCCGGCGCACATTACAAGGTATTTTTAAGAATGTTGAACCTGCTAGCTGTAACTTACTTGAAACCACTACACAAAAGGAATATTATTATTATTATTATTTTTTTTTTTGAGACGGAGTCTCGCTCTGTCCCCCAGGCTGGAGTGCAGTGGCGTGATCTCGGCTCACTGCAAGCTCTGCCTCCCAGGTTCACGCCCTTCTCCCGCCTTGGCCTCCTGAGTAGCTGGGACTAGGCTCCCGCCACCACGCCCAGCTAAAATCTTTTTGTATTTTTAGTAGAGATGGGGTTTCACTGTGTTAGCCCGGCTGGTCTCCATCTCCTGACCTCGTGATCCGCCCGCCTCGGCCTCCCAAAGTGCTGGGATTACAGGCATGAGCCACCGTACCCGGCCGGAATATTATTTTTGTATTTCATTTATGTAACTTAAAAGTGTTTAACTTGGAGTCCTTAAAAGCAGAGATGTGAAAATGGCAAGTATTTTATTGTTTGGCTCCTAGTATAATTGTATATAATACAGTATTCTTGGCCAAGCTTGGTGGCTCAAACCTTTAATCCCAGTATTTTGAGAGACTGAGGCCGGCAGACCACCTGAGCTCAGGAGTTCAAGACCAGCCGGACCAACATGGTGAAACCCCATCTCTACTAAAAATACAAAAATCAGACGGGTGTGGTGGTGGGCGCCTGTAATCTCAGCTGCTCCGGAGCCTGAGGCAGGAGAATTGCTTGAACCCAGGAGGCGGATGTTACAGTGAGCCAAGATGGTGCCACTGCACTCCAGCTTGGGAGATGAGTGAAACTCCATCTCAAAAACAAATAAGCAAACAAACAAAAAACAGTATTCTTAATTAAATTTGACAATTTGGCAACATTTTGATATTTTATACATGTGTATTTAAAATTGAATTCTGGGCCGGGTGTAGTGGCTCAAGCCTGTAATCCTAGCACTTTAGGAGGCTGAAGTGGGAGGATTGCTTGAAGCCAGGAGTTCAAGACCAGCCTGGGTATATAGTGAGACTCCATCTCTATAAAAAATACAATTACCTGAGTGAGGTGGTGCATACCTGTAGTCCTAGCCACTCGGGAGACTGAGACAGAAAGATCATTTGAACCTAGGAGTTAGAGGCTGCAGTGAGCTAGAATTGCACCACTGCATTGCACCTTGGACAACAGAGTAAGACTCCGTCACCAAAAAAAAAAAAAAAAAAAAAAAAATTAAAAAAAGAATCTTGTATGAAAAGGTGTTTGGTATGATGACATGATTAATTGCCAGTAGCCTTGAACAGAAAATTTTCGGGAGTGTTTGCCTTATGAGTTGCCTTCTCTAAGCCTAGTGTGGCATTTCTGAAACTATTTCTAGTGGCCACTCTATAATTTCTCCTTAAAGTATCTCAAAATCTGAAATCTCCTTAAAGTATCTTACATCTGAAGGTCTATCTAGCTTGAAATGATTTTGCATTAATTCTATTGGAAGAAAATGAAATACCTCAACTTCCTAACCTATTAGAAGTTAATATATAACATTTTTGGGAATGTTATACTTTCATTTAAAAATATGAAATCGTATCTGAACTGTTCCTTAAGTTTAGGGACCATGCTCTTACCTGTTTTTATGTTCCCTAAAGTGTATAATAGATGTTGGAAAACAAATATATTACTATTATAAAAGGAGTCAAATACAGACATATGATACTCAACTTACATACCTTAATCAACGTGTAGCATCTTTATTGCATAGCTTGGCAGGTACCTGACCAAGCAGTTGTGAACATGTCATCGACAAACTTAGCTTCTCAAAACCCTCCTTTATTCCTGCCTCTTTTTTTACTTCTAACAGATGAGTCGCTTTCCTTGATAAAGGTCAGTAGGTATGACCTTCTCCCAGATTTCCAACCCTTTACCTCTGGACTTAATTCCAACAGTACACACTTTGGGATTTCACTCCTCTCTCAAGGAAAGAAACATCTCTTCATTCCCCCAAGATTACTCACTATTTTCCATGTGGGCTTCATCCAGAATTGTGTTTTTCAACATCTGGAGCTTGTCCAAAAACTTAAAGTTCTGTTTTTTTTCCTGCTTTTTTTTTGACAGGTAAAATTATATATATTTATTGTGTACAACATTGACTCTTTTTCCTTCAGCTTTTTAACATGCCCAAGTATCTGAGATCTTAAGCAACCATCTTTTAATTGTGCCTCTTCAAGTCTAGGGTCCTCTGTTTCTTTTTCTGTTTCTTCTAAACTTCTTAAATGTGTTCTCTGGCCTCTACTTGGATTTCTGTTCACTTCATAGCCTTTGGCAGTATAGTTCTGTCTATGCCACTTTAATGAGATTGCTCCTACTAAGCTCCCCTGTATTTTTTTTATTTATAGTTTATGTATTCCTTCAGATAATTGTTTACAGTGTCCCCTACTCAGTTCTTAGCTTTCAACCCATATTTTGAACCTCCTATTCATTTCCATATTTTTCCCTTACAGGTACCTCAGAATTACCTTATTTCTAAATCCTTTGCCTGGATTCCCTATCTAGCATCCTCATTTCTATTGCCCTGTGTGTGTGTGTGTATACCTGTATATGGTTTTTTATTATTTTTTTAAGACAGTTTCGCTTTCGTTGCCCAAGCTGGAGTACAGTGGCGTGACCTTGGCTCACTGCAACCTCTGAATCTCAGGTGAAAGTGATTCCTCTGCCTCAGCTTCCCGAGTAGCTGGGATTACAGGCACATGCCATGACGCCTGGCTAATTTTTTGTATTTGCAGTAGAAATGGGGTTTCACCATGTTAGCCAGGCCGGTCTCAAACTCCTGACCCTCAGGTGATCCACCTGCCTCATCCTCCTGAAGTGCTGGGATTACAGGCGTGAGCCACCATGCCTGGCCTGCCTTTTGTTTATGTTTGAAACCTTATTTATTTATTTATTTATTGTTTTTTTGAGACGGAGTCTGTCACCCAGGCTGTAGTGCAATGGCACGATCTTGGCTCACTGCAACTTCCGCCTCCTGGGTTCAAGCAATTCTCTTGCCTCAGCCTCCCAAGTAGCTGGGATTACAGGCGCCTGCCACCACGCCCGGCTAAGAAAATTGAGAATGTATGAAAACTTACAGTAAAAATAAGATATTAAAAAGAAAGAATGTGTAACAACTGTATGAAACTGCTTATTACAACTTTATATGAACAGTGAAAAAAATTGGAAAAAAAGCAGTCCAGCAAATTATGATATGCACATAGGATAGAACATTACGCTGCTATTTAAAATAATAATAGTTGATTAGAGTCTGGGTGTGGTAGCTCATGCCTATAATCCCAGCACTTTAGGAGGCTGAGGTAGGTGGATCACTTTTGCACAGGAGTGCAAGACCAGCCTGGGCAACATGGTGAAACCCTGTCTCTAATTAAAAAAAGAATAAAAAATGTGATAAGAAAAAGAATAAGAGGAAACATTGTTATATCCAGTTATCATGTATTTTAATTTTAAGCATATGATAAAACATTTAACTGACTTGAAGGAATTAGGTTCTTTTCCCTGAATATTTTGTAATTTTATAGTAATTGAATAACTTCAAAATGATTGCTATACTGAAATTTAACCTCTTGTTAATGTGAATGATATATCTTTTCATGATTTTATGGCAAAATACTTTAAGTTTTATATTAGTCTAGTATACCAATTCCTAGCAGTATGATTCCAGGTAAATGATACTGCCTTAGTGGTAATTTTTATTCACTCAAATTGCAAGGTTCTATGAATAAATAGCATTCTAAGTGTTTGTTAATATGATAAATAATGATATAAATGTTTTGGCGTATTTCATCATGTATAGTGAATATGCAATCATTATTTTCATATCTGAGATTCTATCTAGTTTCTTGTGCAAATGCCTAAAAAATGGTGGCTGGGTGTGGTGACTCACGACTGTAATCTCAGCACTTTGAGAGGCCAAGGTGGGCACATTGCTTGAGCCCAAGAGTTTGAGACCAGCCATGGTGAGACCTCATCCTAACAAAAATACAAAAAATTAACCGGGTGTGGTGGCATGAGCCTGTAATCACAGCTACCAGGGAGGTTGAAGTGAAAGGATCACTTGAGCCCTGGTGGTCTAGGATGCAGTGAGGCATGATTGTGCCACTGCATTCCAGCCTGGGCAACAGAGCAAGACCCTGTCTCAAAATAAATAAATAAATAAAGTCAATTTTAGTTACTATTTGAGAATAGATTTCTAATCAGTAAACTGTAACTACTTTGCAGCCATTTTCAGTCTAATGAGGAAGCACATTTTTATTTATGGGATCAATGGCTACTTAATTTTAAACTTAAAATGTGTTAGCTGTTAGTTACATATGCAACTTAAATTTAAACTTTCTTAATATCTTTCTTTTTTATACATTGATGGTGTATTTAAAAAAATCTCTTCAGCCAGATAATTATGAAGAAAACTATTTTTATCATTATCATTATAGTTCTGATATGTATGGTTTTTAGTGTCATGCATTGATAGTGTGACTTTTTACACTAACATAAAGAAAAAATCTGTTTTTCTATGACACTTTCAGTGGAAGAAAAATAAATATGTAGCCTTGCTAAGTCTATCTAAATTTGTGGTTTTAATGCACAGCTTATAAGCAACTCAAAAAATGTGTCACTTAAAGTTAATGATTAGATGTAGTTAGGGCCAGATAGAAGCAGTTGTAATAGATTTTTAAGAATTCAATGTCGTGGCCGGGTGCAGTGGCTCACGCCTGTAATCCCAGCACTTTGGGAGGCCGAGGCAGGTGGATCACTTGAGATCAGGAGTTAGAGACCAGCCTGGCCAACATGGTGAAACCCCATCTCTACTAAAAATTCGAAAGATTAGCTGGGCGTGGTGGCAGGTGCCTGTAATCCCAGCTACTCAGGAGGCTGAGGCAGGAGAATCGCTTGAACATGGGTGGTGGAGGTTGCAGTGAGCCGAGATCGCGCCACTACACTCTAGCCTGGGCGACAGAGTAAGACTCCGTCTCCAAAAAAAAAAAATAATAATAATTCAATGTCGTTTCTTTGTGGGTACTGTCTTGAGAAGCTGCTTGTTTTCTTAACTCTTTAGATGTTTGTAAATTACATTGCTGTTCTTTAGTTTTTCTGGCTTTCCTAAGGAGACCTGTTGCAAGTTTCTGCTGTATCACCTTCCTCAAAGTTGTCATAAGAATGAGAGAGATCTTTCTCCTTTCCTTTTTCCTTTTTTCTTTCCTTTTTCCTTTTTTCCTTTCCCTTCCCTTCCCTTTTCCTTTTTCCTTTATTCTTTTTTCTTTCTTTTTGATGAAGTCTCATTCTGTTGCCGAGGCTGAAGTGCAGTGGTGCAATCTCGGCCTTTCCTCCTTCTCTCCCTCCCTCCCTCCTCCCTCCCCCTCCCTCCCTCCTTCCTTCCTTCCCTCCCTCCCTCCCTCTTTCTTCCTCCCCTCCCCTCCCGTTCCCTCCTGTCCCCTGTCGAGATGAGGTCTTGCTTTGTCACCCAGGCTAGAGTGCAGTGGTAGGCACTATCACAGCCAAGCAACCTCAAACTCCTGGGCTCAAGGCATCCTCCCAAGTAGCTGGGACTATAGGTGTGTGTCACCGTGCCTGGCTAATTTTTTTTTTTAAATAGAGATGGGGTCTTGCCATCTTGCCCAGGATGATCTTAAACTCTTGGGCTCAAATGATCCTCCTGCCTACGCCTCCCTATTGTTTCCGACTTGATACCAGAGAGTTTCCTGAAGCCATTGTAAAGGGCCATCCTCAGTTGACAAGATATAAGTGACAGTTAAACTTTGAAAATTAAAAAGAGTATTTCCACATTAGAAAGGCTTTGGGCTGGGTGCGGTGGCTTACGCCTGTAATCCCAGCACTTTGGGAGGCCGAGGCGGGCAGATCACGAGGTCAGGAGATCAAGACCATCCTGGCTAACACGGTGAAACCCCGTCTGTACTAACAATACAAAAAGAAATTAGCCAGGCGTGTGGTGGCGGGCACCTGTAGTCCCAGCTACTCGGGAGGCTGAGGCAGGAGAATGGCGTGAACCTGGGAGGCGGAGCTTGCAGTGAGCCGAGATCACGCCACTGCACCTCCAGCCTGGGCGACAGAGTGAGACTCTGTCTCCACAAAAAAAAAAAAAAAAAAAAAAAAAAGAAGATTTTGGACAATACTTTGCAAAATTCCTTAAAAAGGGCATTTATATAAAGTGGAATGTCTGGCAACTACAGCCTGAGTAGAAAGAAAACATAATTGTAGAAATTAAAAAAATACTTTGAATTTAGCAGTATAAGGCATATTAGGACCCTATAGGATCTTAATAGAATTTGGAAAATAGAAACAGTTGACTTTTCTATTCAACTTATTTTTTCCAGGCCCCACAATGTCTTTCATAAAGATTTTTAAAAACTGAAAGTACTATACTCAAGCTTATGCAGCTGTAAATAACTGAAAGTACTATACTCAAGCTTATGCAGTTAAATATTTATCTTTTCAGCTCTTACAACTGAAAAACTGTTATGTGTCTGGCAAAGGAGATGGTAGCCACTGTTCTCATTCTGTTGGTTTTTAGAATTTTCATTCTTGTGTGATTTACATTACTGTAGAGTGATAGTTCTCTTTCAGGTGTGAATATAGTGATGAGAATCTTAAGGTTGTTTAAGGTAAACCATACTTTTGAAAAGTTTTATAGAACCTGACCTTTGGTTCTCTACATGTTCATTTAGAGCTTTGAATCATTATCTCATACAAAAATCTTATTTGTTGGCAGATTTTTTCCTTTTTATTGCTGTCAGCAGTGGGCATTCGGTCAAATTATTAATCTAGGATTCCAGTTTACCTGTTGAGTTGTTTTAAAGGGAGATGATGTCAGGTGATCTTGTAGGAATCATTTGACCTTTGCCTTCTTAATCTTTAATATTTTGTATTTATCTTTGTCTGAAAGTTACATAGATTTTCATAAGAAATAAAAGTTTTGTGGTGGTTCTTTTGAGACAGATTTTCCTATAAAGTAGAAAGCAATACATTTGGCTTTCTATTAAGGGAGTTGTTCATAACCCAAACTTAAAAAACTGTTTACTCTTTCTAATAGCTCATTGGTAGATATTGGGCGTTGTATGAAGAATTTAAGTAAAAATTTTTCTTTAGTACTTAAGTTATATAAGCTGAATTTGAGTTATTAATCTTAAGTTTACATCAAGAAAGAGGGAACTTCAGGTAAACTTTTTGTCTTTAGTCAACCTTTCTGTCAGGGTTTCCATTTCTGATTTTTTATTTTATATAGCTTTTAAAAATCTAGAGAATTATCTGCTTAGTAAGAGTAATCCTTGTGTAATTTTTTTGAATTAATTAGCTCTTTTCTAGCCTTGTTAAAGATTTGTACTGGCAGGGTGATTTCTAGCAGCTTTGAAATGTCCAACAGGTCATTTTCTGTTCCAAATGTTGGAACATTTTGCTAAGTCAGATGAAGCTTGTTATTTAACATGCTGATTTGTGTTATAGTCAACACATTCTCTAGATGCTTTGTTCACAATACTGCTGGAAAATACCCAAGACTTTAGTATTTTCAAAATAAATGTTCTGTAGGCACCTCAGACAGCAGGTTTAGTTTATTAAGTTTTACAATGTATGGTGGTTGTTTCTTATATGAAATGGTAGACACAATTTTTTTTTTTTGAGATGGAGTCTTGCTCTGTCACCCAGGCTGGAATGCAGTGGCGTGATCTTGAGTCACTGCAGCCTCCGCCTCTCGAGCTCAAGTGATTCTCCTGCCTCAGCCTCCTGAGTAGCTGGGATTGCAGTTGCGTGCCACCATGCCTAGCTAATTTTTGTATTTTTAGTAGAGGTGGGGTTTCAACATACTGGTCAGGTGGGTCTTGAACTCCTGACCTCGTGATCCGCCCGCCTCAGCCTCCCAAAGTGCTGGGATTACAGGTGTAAGCCACTGTGCCCAGCCAATGAAATGGTTTAGTATTATTTCCTGGATTGAATGCTGGTAAAAATAATCTTCTAAAATAATAGAGGTATTTAAAATATTGACACCTAGTTAACCAATGAAGAATTAAACTCATTTACTGTTCATACTACCAACTTATTGTCTAGTGTCTCCTGCCTTTTTTTTTTAAATGGCATGTTGTTTTGTCTTTTATAAATATGCACTTTAAACAAGGTAATTGAGAAATGAAATAAACTGACTAGAAACTCCTTTTTACTGGCTACATATTGTTATATAGTTCTATTTTGTAATTTCTATTTATAGAGCCTTGCATAGACTGGCACTATGGTTCTGTCCTTTGAAGAATGAAAAGCCCTTTTAATTGTCAGAATTTATTGGATCATATAGTGAAGTTCTACTTTTAGTCTTTATTGATTGAAGAAGTTATATAATGACCAACAGCTTTAAAAACTGTTATGAATTAAGTAATACTTTTAAATGAAGAAATTTGCCCTCACTGCTTATGATTACTTTTAAAATTAGTGCTGGCAGATGATCCTAGGGACTCTTCATATGCCTGGCAATTCTAGACTTTGGGTGCTCTGGGCTACGCCTACCATATTTGGCTGTTCATCCACAAGTTAGTGACCCTTGAAGAAGAGTCTTGTTCAAGAAAGACATTGTTTTATACCTGTCACTCGTTCTTGTTTTCTGTTTAACTTATCCTTTGACAAATATTCAGACCTACAGAAAAGCTGCAAGAATAATACAAAGAATTCCTGTGTATTTTTCACCTAGATTATTCAAATGTTAACATTTTACTGCATTTGCTTTTACCTTTTTTTCTCTGTATCTATATTATGTTTTTATCTGAATTTTTTGAGAGTAAGTTGCAGGCATGTCCCTTTAACTCTAACTAATTGCATAAAGTAAAGACTGTTCAGTTGTTGTATCTCTTTAGTTTAATCTGTGATCTGAAAACTTCCTCAGTCTTTATGTTGATTTGACATTGACCTTTTGAAGAATACTGCCATTATTTTATAGACTCTTCCTCAATTTGGATTTGTTTTCATATTTTTGAGACAGGGCCTATGAATAAATAATATTTTAAGTGTTAATATGGTAAATAATGTTATGAAATAACTTTTGGATATTCATTATATATAGTTGATATACAATCACGTTCATATCTGAGATAGATTCTAGCTAGTTTCTTGGGGTACGTGGCAAATATTTTAGGCTTGTACGGACTGAACAGGTGACTGCTTCACTTTGGTGTGGTTACCAAATTGGTATGGTTACCAACTGAATGAAATAAGGTATGGCTGATTGGTTATGTTAATAAAATATATCTAAAATGATCGTATTTTTGTAATTTTATTTTATTTTATTATTCTTATTTTTTTTGAGATAGAGTCTCACTCTGTTGCCCAGGCTGGAGTGCAGTGGCATGATCTTGGCTCACAGCAACCCCTGCCTTCCGGATTCAAGTGATTCCCATGCCTCAACTTCTTGAGTAGCTGGATTACAGGTGTGCACCACTACACCCAGCTAATTTTTGTATTTTTAGTAGAGACGGGGTTTCATCATGTTGGCCAGGCTGATCTCAAACTCCTGACCTCAAATGATTCACCAGCCTCGGTCTCCCAAAGTGCTGGGATTACAGGTGTGAATCACCATGCCAGGGCTGTATTTTTGTAATTTAAAAATAAACAATTACTAAAATAGGTTATTCCTATTCTCTGATAGATTTTTTACCTTCTTTATTTAAAAATTAATGTAAACCCAGGCTATGAAAGTATAGGGAGTAATAGAATCACTTCCTATGCAACTGTCATCCAGTGTGCAAAATAAATTTGAGGTCCCTTCCTTCTCTTTTCTTCCTTGACATGTCTGTCATTTCCATGCATGTTTTTATACCTTTACCACATATAAAACATGGTATAGTTTTGTCTTCTGTTAACTTTATAATAAATGATACATGCTCTTCTGCAACTTTTTTTGTTCTATATTTTGAGATTTATGTACGTTGATATATGTAATTTCAGTTAATTCATTTTGCTGCACTTCATCAGTTCTAGCACATTTCCTCCTAACATTTTAACATCTTTGAAATTGGGATGCATCTTAAAATCGATGATGTCTTGACCTAACAATTGGTATATTTTCTTTTTTTGTGGTACATAAATATATAATAATTGTGATATGAGCCACACTTGTACTGCATGCTTTGTATTTTATGACTAAGCCACAATATCCAGTCCTTTTCTGACAATTAGATTATTCTGAAATTTTGATACTACATATAGTGCTGCAGTGAACATTAATTTACCTGTTTCTTTGTGCATATTTGTGAGAATTTCTCTAGATGGAGTATACACCTGGGAGAAGAATTGCTGGATTATAGAGTATGTCCATTTTCAGCTTTGCCCTCAAAAGTGATTGTACTTCTTACCCTTGTATAACAGTTCCTGTTGCCCTATTCTTCAACAGTGGATGTTGTCCTACTTCTTTTTGCCAGTTTGGTGGCTATAAAATGGCATAAAATAAGACTTGGCTTGTATTTCCTGTCTGTGAATTGTCTGTTTATATCTTCTGTCCATTTGTCTACTCAGTTTTACCAAACATAATATGACTTCTTTAGATCTCTTCTCAGTTACGTGTATTGCAAATAACTTCTCTATGTCAGTGGCTTATCTTTATTTCAGGTATCATTTGATGAATGAAAGCTTTAAATTTTAGTAAAATCAAATTTGTCATATTTTCCCTTCTAAGAGTGTGTGTTTTTTACATCTTCTTTAAAGAAAACCTCTCCTTTCTGTCAGAGGTTGATGATTAATTTGTTAAAAATATAACTAATTTTAAACTAAAAGGAATAAAAATTATAAATCTTTATGAATACATTTTGTGCTATGTAAGAAAAGTGTTAATTTTCTATCTATAATTTTACTAGAAAGAGGAACTAGAATTTAGCCAAGAATATTGGCAGGCTGTGGTGGGAAATAATCAGGAAGAGATGATAGGTCAAAGGAAAAGAAGGACAATATTTTGAGGACAGAATGTGAAGGGCTGTGTTTATAGGAGCATAAACTCATATCTCAGGGTTTGATTGAGATAAGGGAGGAAAGAGAAAACTGTGAGAAATAACTGGATCCATGTAAAGACCAAAGTAGGAATAGGAGAGGGACTTGGTAGTTGGTCAAGAAGCACCTACTTGTGTTTCTTGGTGTTGCTGGTTTCTTTGTTTTTTTAGCATGCTCACTGTACTTAATGTCACTGAACAGTACATTTAAAATGATTTAAGATACACGAGGTCAGGAGATCGAGACCATCCTGGCTAACATGGTGAAACTCCGTCTCTACTAAAAATACGAAAAATTAGCCGGGCGTGGTGGTGGACGCCTGTAGTCCCAGCTACTCGGAAGGCTGAGGCAGGAGAATGGCGTGAACCCGGGAGGTGGAGCTTGCAGTGAGCAGAGATCGTGCCACTGCACTCCAGCCTGGGCGACAGAGCGAGACTCCGTCTCAAAAAAGGAAAAAAAAAATGATTTAAGATAGTAAATTTTATTTATTTTTACCGCAATTTTTAAAAAGGAAAAGATTTTTAAAATGGAGATTTGAACAAATAGAAGTAAGTTGAGTAAGGAGAGTGCAAGGCATTATTACCTTTTATTTAATTTATTTGTGATATCAAAGTACATTTAAAAGAAGAACCCAGTCAGGCCTGGTGGCTCATGCTTGTAATCCCAACACTTGAGAGGCTGAGGTGGGTGGATGGCTTGAGGCTAGGAATTTGAGACCAACCTGGCCAACATGGCGAAACCCCATCTCTACTAAAAATACAGAAATTAGCCAGACATGGTGGTGTATGCCTATAATCCCAGCTACTTGGGAGGCTGAGGCGCGAGAATCACTTGAACCTGGGAAGGCGGAGGTTGCAGTGAGCTGTGATCACGCTACTGCACTCCAGCACTCCAGCGCAGGCAACAGAGGGAGACTCTTTGTCTCAAAAAAAAAAAAAAAAAAAAAAAAGAGAAGAAGAAGAACCCTATTACATATGTAGTGTATGTAAGTTTGGTCAAAAATAATTCAGAAATTTCATATTGGCAAATAAATTGAATATAACTTGGTAAAGTATTTGTTTCTGTTTTCTCCCTCCCTTTTCAGATGGGCTAATATTATGTGTAGTAAAAAAAGATGGAAACAGCCCACTATGGTTAGCAATGATCAGACTCATGACTATGGGTGTCAATATTGATTACATTGCTGGTTTGGTAATTATAAAAAGATGTGAACAGTTTGGATAGAGTAGTTCAGATGCGACTTAAAGTTTGTTAGAGGATTGGAAAAATAAGATGTATATGGTAGTCCATTTGGGCTGCAATAATAAAATCCCTTAGACTGGGTAATTTCTAAAGAGCATAACCTTATTGTTCACAGCTCTGGAGGCTAAGTTCAAGATCAAGGTGCCAGCAGATTTGGTGTGTGGTGAGGGCTCACTTTCTCCTCCTTCAAAGATGGCGCCCTTTTGCTGTATCCTTACGTGGTAGAAGGGGTGAACAAGCTACCTCAGGCCTCTTTTATGTAAAAGAGCACTAATCCCATTCAGAGGATAGAGCCCTCGTGATCTACACCTCCCAAAGTTCCCACTTCTTAATACCATCACTTTTGGCGGTTAAGTTTCAACATACAAATTCTGGGGGAGCTGAGGGGAGGTGGGGGGGACACAAACATTCAGACCATAGTAGGTTAAAGAACCTGAAATTATTAATTCTAAGGAATGAAAGCTTAATGGTTGCTCTAATAGGAGTCTTCACTATCCTCTGAGTAATATTTTATGGACAGCTCCAGCTCACAAAGGGGTAGTATTTCAAAACATCGTTTCTTAGTTGATAAGAACAATTGGCAGGGTCATGAATAATACAGCTGCAGAGGACAACACAGTATACATTGCAATGAAAAATAGGAAATAGTATTGTACTAAAACAGTATTTTGGACCATGGGCTTCAGCTCCTGGGAATATAGTACTTTGTAAAATCCATAAACACCAGATACTAGCAAGTCGTGAGTATGTCTGATGGAGGGTAGGAGAAGGAAAAGAGTTAATACCTGGATATATCAGGGAGTCACAGTGGTCAAGTTAATAAGTAATTTATAGGTCTTTTCTTATGGTCTTTTATACCTGTCTCCAGCACCACCACCTATGCCTTCTGATGAACTATAACTTGCATGATATTCCTATCTGTGTTTATTTTCTAAAGTCCCTTTTGAGATAGGTTCACAGAGCATAGTGGCTGGGAATTGGCTGGTGAGGGATAATGACACTTTGTCCAAACCCTGGTTGGAGCCCTGGGTTGATTGATTGCCTTCCAGCTTGGCATGTTGGGAAAGAAAAGCTAGGAATGGCAGGATCCAGAAATTGCAGCAGTTTTAAAAATTTCTCTATGTCAGTTATCAGCTGTTCACACAATTTAACATGGCATGAATTAGCCTAGAGTGGTGTGCATTGATCTGATTCCCTGGCACTTCATCCTGTTTTTTCAGACTTGGGGGCCCTGATTTGGTAGGACTTGAATTTGCCTGTGGTTTTTGTATAGACGAGATCATTGGTTCTCAGATTTTAGTGTGACTCTACATGGCCCTGGGAGCTTGTACACTTTCAGATGCCTGGACCTTATCACAGACCTACCACATCAAAATCTTTCTGATTAGAGTTTTATGTGTATATTTACTTATTTGACTTTTTTTTTTTTTTTTTTTTTTTTTTTTTAAGGCAGAGTCTTGCTCTGTCGCCCAGGCTGGAGTGCAGTGGCACGATCTTGGCTCACTGCAACCTCCACCTCCTGGGTTCAAGCGATTCTCCTGTCTCAGCCTCCCGAGTAGCTGGGATTACAGGCGTGCGCCACCACACCTGGCTAATTTTTGTGTTTTTACAAGTGTGAGCCACTATGCTTGGCCCTTATTTAACTTTTCATTAAGGAAAAATATAAGCGTATTCAAAAGTAGACAGGATAGCATAATGAACTCCAATATACCCATCATCAGGCTTCTGTAAATAACAGTTTATGACTCATTTCATTTTCTCCATATCCCCATCCACTTTTTCCTCTTCTATATTATTTCAAAGCAAATCCCAGATTATTTTATTTTTAGATACATATGTTTTAATAGGTTCCACAGATGATTAAAAAACTTTCTTGGAACAGGTGATACATGTATGTAGTAAAAAAGGATGTACAGTGAAAAGTAATTCTTTTCATTGCTGCCAGTATTGTTACTCTTCACCAAGGCAAAGAAACCCTCAATTTCTTTATATATCTATAGATATTCAGTGCATATGCAAATATATGCATATAATTCCTCTTTTTAATTAAACACACATGGTAATATCTATTGTAAAGTATACATTTTTTGAAATCTTGCTTTTTTTCAGGTAGCAGTATTCAGAATCAGGTGAATAGCAAGGCAAATAAGTTGTTTTCATTCTTTTTAAATTGGTCCATGTGTCAAGGTCTGTTTAGTACCTTTTGATGGATATGTAGGTTATTTACAGTATTAGGTTGCTTTACACAGTGCTGCAGTGAATATTCTTTTATATTGTCTTGAGTTGCCTGCATTTCTAGGTCAGAGGATATGTTCATTTGCAATTTTGTTAAATATTGCCAGATTGCCTTCCCACCATCTGTATATGTATGGTGTACTGTTCTTCTATATTTTTCATGTCTCTCTCATGCTTTCCTTTAAATCCACAAGTGTATAATAGCTGTTTTAAAATTTATCTGTTGGCCAAGCTCAGTGGCTCATGTCTGTAATTTCAGCACTTTGGGAGGCCAAGTCAGGAGGAGGATTGCTTGAACCCAGGAGTTCGAGACCAGCCTGGGCAATATGGCAAGACCCCATCTCTACAAAATTTAAAAATTAGCTGGGCATGGTGGCACATATCTGTGGTCTCAGCTACTTGGGAGGCTGAGGTGGGAGGATCGTTTGAGCTCAGGAGGTCGAAGCTGCAGCAAGCCATGTTTGTGCCATTGCACTTTAGTCTGGGCAACAAAGACTGTCTCAAAAAAAAAGAAAAAAAATTGGGCCGGGTGCCATGGCTCATGCCTGTAATCTCAGCACTTTGGGAGGCCAAGGTGGGTGGATTACTTGAGGCCAGGAGTTCGAGACCAGCTTGGCCAACATGACAAAACCCTGTCTCTACTAAAAATACAAAACATTAGCTGGGTGTGGTGGCAGGTGCCTGTAATCCCAGCCACTCGGGAAGCTGAGGCAGGAGAATTACTTGAACTTGGAAGGTGGAGATTGCAGTGAGCTGAAATCACGCCACTGCACTCCAGCCTGGGCAATAGAGCGAGACTGTATCAAAAAAAAAAAATTATCTGTGAATTTAATCATCTCTTTTTCTGAGTCTATGGGTATGGGTTACAGAAGTGGTTTGTAAATTAGGAGAATCATGGCAATGTTAAATTATCGAGTAGGGTGTAGTGGTTCGAACCTATAGTCTATTTGAGATTACTTGGGAGGCTGAGGTATGAGGATCATTTGAGAACAGGAATTCAAGACCAGCGTGGGCAATACAGTGAGACCTAGTCTCTTAGAAAAACTATTGCAGATAAGATTGGAAGCCTCACAAAAGTGCCTTAATGGATGAGTTTGATACATATAGCCGGAGTTTTCAGTGTGTTTTTTCTTCATTAAAAGAACAATCAGTTGATGGAGTTTCAAAATCTTTTCTGAGTAAAGGTATGGAATAGATGTCAGTAGATGCCAATGAGATGTTTGGAACTCCAGAATTTCTTTTTTTTTTTTTTGAGACGGAGTCTCCCTCTGCCGCCCAGGAAGGAGTGCAGTGGCGCGATCTCTGCTCACTGCAACCTCTACCTCCCGGGTTCACGCCATTCTCCTGCCTCAGCCTCCCGAGTAGCTGGGACTATAAGCACTTGCCACCACTCCCGGCTAATTTTTTGTATTTTTAGTGGAGACGGGGTTTCACCGTGTTAGCCAGGATGGTCTGGATCTCCTGACCTCGTGATCCGCCCACCTCGGCCTGCCAAAGTGCTGGGATTACAGGCGTGACCCACCGCGCCCAGCGGAACTCCGGAATTTCAATTTATAATTTTCTCTTACAGAGTGAACATCAAGTCTTAATTTGTCTAGTAAGGTTTTGTAGCAGATTTATTAAGGTCAAGTCAACTTAGGAATGTGGTAGACTGTGCACAAGAAAACTTGTAGGAAGCTATAGGAGGTATAAATTTGCACCTTTTATCTGAAAGGTGGTACGTTTACTTGTTCCTTGTACCATACCTTAGCTATTGACTATGGGCCAGTTACCTAGTCTTGGTAAACTTCAGTTTTCTTTTTTTTTTTTTCTTTTGGAGACGGAGCCTCGCTCTGTTGCCCAGGCTGAAGTACAGTGGCGCGATCTCGGCTCACTGCAACCTCTGCCTCCTGGGTTCAAGCGATTCTTGTGCCTCAGCCTCTCCAGTGGCTAGGATTATAGGTGTGCACCACCACACCTGGCTGATTTTTGTATTTTTAGTAGAGAAGGGGTTTCACCATGTTGGCCAGGCTGGTCTCGAGTTCCTGACCTCAAGTGATCTGCCCGCCTCGGCCTCCCAAAGTGCTGGGAATACAGGCATGAGCCACCGTGCCTGGCCAACTTTAGTTTTCTTAAAAGCAAATTGGAAAGATATTGCTATGATTAGATAAAATATTGTAAATAAAGTGTTAAACTGTTGCATAGTAAGTGCTCAGTAGGTAGTTGCTCTCATTTTTAATATCGATATTACAGATTGATGGTAATCTGTGGATTCTGAGTTAAAGAACTGATGTTTGTGATTTGTTATAAGAGTAGGAGACCACATAGTTAATATAATACAGATTTTTAAATTGTAGAAAATGAAGATATTTCAACCAACCAACAAGCCAACATTTATTGAACACCAACTCTATATCCTTGGCACTTTGCTTTAGATCTAGTGTGAAAGACAGATATATACACTGACAATTACAATATAATGAAATGTTGTAATCGCAAAATGAGAAGAATTTAGGAACTACTGTGAGAGCACTGAATGCTAACCCCTGCCTAGAGGGTGAGTTTATATGTTTCAGGAAAGGCTTCAGCAAGAAGATATTATTTTACTTTGATTGAAATCTGAAAGAGTTTTTAAAGTGTTCAATAGTAGATGTGAGTCTGGGTGCAGTGGCTCATGCCTATAATCCCAGCATTTTGGGAGCCTGAGATGAGAGGATCACTCAGGCCAGGAGTTGGAGGCTGCAGTGAGCTATGATTGTGCCACTGCACTGCAGACTAGGCGAGACCTTGTTAAAAGAAGAAAGGGTAGATGTGCAGAAAAACATTAAGAGAACATAATGCAAAGTTCCTGTATCTGGCTTCTCAGCTTATTTTTACACTTGATCATTTGTATTAGGATTTTACCATTAGGGAAATTCCAAGATAATTTTGTGCAAGTAGAAAACATGGAGTATTACTTAAAGTGATGATTCTGTCAAATGGTGGTTTTGACGTACACGTTTATATATTGTTGTGGCAGACCAAGTAGATGGAAGGCAGATCTAACACCTGTGTAATTATCAGTTTTTCTAGCTATGGTACTGAGGATTCATTCTTATGTGTGTATATGTTTTGAGTTCCTATAGATAGGTCAGCAGTTGCTAGGTTGATTTCATATTTTATAAATTCTAATTTGGTAAAATAAGGTCATAGGGGAGAATATTAAATATGCCAGAATAAAACTGGATCCTCTTTCATATCTATGTTATATCTGAATCAAATAATGTTTATAAAATCATTATACATTTAATGGTTGTGTGGTAAGAATGTTGGCTATTTCAGCCTCAATAAACTCACATCCTTTTTGGATGCAGGCATAAAATAAATAGAATGTCATTTAGTCCTTGAGAACCTTAGAATGATTTTAAATCTGTTTTTCAAATATGATTTGAAATTTGATTTGAAAATATGATTTGAAAATTTCAAATATTTTCCAATATATTTGGAGGAAGTTTAAAGGAATATCCATATAATAAAGTACACATTGAGAAGAATGGGAACATGAATATAACTGGGTAGAAAGTCATTAACTTGTCTTTGTAATATAATGCTTTTTAAGATCAAAGGATAATATTTTTAGTAAATAGAATGTAGCATCAGCTATTCATGAAATTGGCACCCTAATTTTATTTAAAATCCCTGCCATAGGTGGGGCATAGCGAAACTCTGTCTCAAAAAAAAAAAATATATATATATATATATAGTTAAAGCAGACATAGATTTTTTTTCCTCCTGAGGCAATTCTTGGGCTTTAGGTTTAAGAAATATGGCTATAAACTATGTTTATATAATGTATATTTTCTTTTCTTGTCATTGGTTCATACATTTGAATTTGGTAATAGAATGTTTTACTTTTGTCAAATGTGTACAGTTAAAGGATCTGTACTTTTTTTTTGAGACAGAGTCTTGCTCTGTCTCACAGGCTGAAGTGCAGTGGTGCAATCTCGGCTCACTGCAACCTCCACCTCCCAGGTTCAAGCGATTCTCCTCCCTCAGCCTCCCGAGTAGCTGGGACCACAGGCATGCACCACCATCCCCAGCTAATTTTTGCATTATTAGTAGAGTTGGGATTTCTTCACCGTGTTGGCCAGGCTGGTCTTGGACTCCTGACCTCAAGTGATCCAACTGCCTCAGCCTCTCAAAGTGCTAGGATTACAGGGATCTATACTTTTCTTTTGAGGGAAAATGTTGGCACCGTTTCTAGGGCATATTGGCCATTTCAGCTTCTCAGTAAATATTTGTTAAGTAATTAAATGCACTTGATTCTTTATTCTTAGCCTTTTAACGCAATACTCAGAATAGCTGAAGCACCAATTAACTGAAATGGAGATATTATAAAGATAGTTATCTTCTCCAAGGGAAAAAATCATCTTCATGGAAATTAATTACTTTTTTACAAATTGTGAATTTGACCCTTAAGAGTTTTCTTCCTGATATTTAAAATTGAAAAAAAAATTGTTGACATTAATATTTCTTCTTTCCTTTTTTTTCTTTTCCTTTTTTTTTTTTTTTTTGCAGGTATGGCCTCACAAGTCTTGGTCTACCCACCATATGTTTATCAAACTCAGTCAAGTGCCTTTTGTAGTGTGAAGAAACTCAAAGTAGAGCCAAGCAGTTGTGTATTCCAGGAAAGAAACTATCCACGGACCTATGTGAATGGTAGAAACTTTGGAAATTCTCATCCTCCCACTAAGGGTAGTGCTTTTCAGACAAAGATACCATTTAATAGACCTCGAGGACACAACTTTTCATTGCAGACAAGTGCTGTTGTTTTGAAAAACACTGCAGGTGCTACAAAGGTCATAGCAGCTCAGGCACAGCAAGCTCACGTGCAGGCACCTCAGATTGGGGCGTGGCGAAACAGATTGCATTTCCTAGAAGGCCCCCAGCGATGTGGATTGAAGCGCAAGAGTGAGGAGTTGGATAATCATAGCAGCGCAATGCAGATTGTCGATGAATTGTCCATACTTCCTGCAATGTTGCAAACCAACATGGGAAATCCAGTGACAGTTGTGACAGCTACCACAGGATCAAAACAGAATTGTACCACTGGAGAAGGTGACTATCAGTTAGTACAGCATGAAGTCTTATGCTCCATGAAAAATACTTACGAAGTCCTTGATTTTCTTGGTCGAGGCACGTTTGGCCAGGTAGTTAAATGCTGGAAAAGAGGGACAAATGAAATTGTAGCAATCAAAATTTTGAAGAATCATCCTTCTTATGCCCGTCAAGGTCAAATAGAAGTGAGCATATTAGCAAGGCTCAGTACTGAAAATGCTGATGAATATAACTTTGTACGAGCTTATGAATGCTTTCAGCACCGTAACCATACTTGTTTAGTCTTTGAGATGCTGGAACAAAACTTGTATGACTTTCTGAAACAAAATAAATTTAGTCCCCTGCCACTAAAAGTGATTCGGCCCATTCTTCAACAAGTGGCCACTGCACTGAAAAAATTGAAAAGTCTTGGTTTAATTCATGCTGATCTCAAGCCAGAGAATATTATGTTGGTGGATCCTGTTCGGCAGCCTTACAGGGTTAAAGTAATAGACTTTGGGTCGGCCAGTCATGTATCAAAGACTGTTTGTTCAACATATCTACAATCTCGGTACTACAGGTAGGTAACAACTCCATACTTTTTGGTTGTTTATTAATGTGAAATTTCTGCTAAATGAAATACTTTTGTGTGTGTTTGTGGTAGAAGAGACCACTTCAGTTAAATAAGGAAATCAAGAGAGGATCAATTTAGGTTCGTTTTAAAGAGATTAAAAAAAATCAAGACATAAAATCTACCCAAGCAGGATAGAAATCTCCACTGCAAAGTTCCATGCCAAAGACATCTGGTTATTTTTATTTTTAATGGAAGACTTGAAGGAATGATAGGTGATTAATAATGATCAAACAGAAGTCTTTAAATGTTGGAAAGTATTTACATTAATCTTTGTATATATCATTGGGCATTTTAGCACTTGAGAGAAATAGTTTATTAAAGATATAATCAATCATATGTAACTGAACATTTAGAAAAATTATATACAGGTTTGAGTAGCCCTTATCTGAAACTTTTGGGGCCAGAAGTGTTTTGGATTCCAGATTTTTCCGGATTTTGGAATATTTGCACTGCCAACTAGTTAAGCACCCCCAAATTTGAAAATTCGTTTCCTTTGAGTGTCATGTCAATGCCCAAAAAGTTTCAGATATTTGGATTTGAGATGCTCAACCTGTATAAGGATTCAGAAAGTTATTCTGATTAATGATTTTAAGATTCAGATATACAGCCGGGTGCAGTGGCTCATGCCTGTAATCCCTGCACTTAGGGAGGCTGAGGCGGGTGGATGACCTGAGGTTAGGAGTTCAAGACCAGCCTGGCCAACATGGCGAAACCCCCATCTCTACTAAAAATAACAAAAATTAGCTGGGTGTGGTGGTGGGTGTCTATAATCCCAGCAACTTGGGAGGCTGAGGCAGGAGAATCACTTGAACCCAGGAGATGGAGGTTGCAGTGAGCCGAGATCATGCCATTGCACTCCAGCCTGGGCCACAAGAGCAAAACTCTGTCTCAAAAAAACAAAACAAAACACAAATATACTTCTTTGGCTCCCGTGACTCTTTAGGTCACCTGATCATAACCAGTTTTATTATGTTCTATCCACATATATGCTATGGGTAATGCTATTTTGGTCTTGCTTCTTGGGGGAAGTTAAAGAAGAAAATAATGCCCATGTAAGTATTGATAAAGTGCTACAATGTAACACTAGCCTGAAGTGCAATAGATAGTATGAGAGGCTAACTAATGATTACCAAGATTCAGAATACTGAAAACTCATTCTGGAGTGTAAAATGGCTTTGAATTCATAGTTTGATAACTTTGAGCTTAAATTATTTTCATATAAGCCTGAGTGAATTTATGTTCTTGGTATTTGCTAAGCCCTACGAGGTCCAACATGATGGACCTGCCATCAAATACAGACAAATACAGGATCTGCCAATATTGGTCATTCATGCAGTTTATTGTTAGAAATGGTTAGAACATGGGGGATATAAATTTAGACCCACCAAGGAGTATATTCTGATACTGCATTTGCCTTTCACTGTACCTGATTACCCTTCTTGCAAGTATATGCTATAGTGCCCAGTATAAAATAAAGGAGAAATTAATTAACTCTTACACAAATCATCTCTAAATACATGCCCTACCAGTAGGTTATCAGAAAGAATTGCCCATTTATGTCACTTAGTGTTAGTAAAGCTTATTAAAATATGTATTTGAGCTGGGCTTGGTGGCTGACACCTGCAATCCCAGCACTTTGGGAAGTGGGAGGATCGCTTTAGGCCACGAGTTTAAGATCAGCCTGGGCAACAGAGCGAGACCCTGCCTCTCCAAAAAAAGAAAAAAAATAATGAGCCAGGAATGTTGGTAAATGCCTGTAGTCTTAGCTATTCAAGAGGCTGAGGTAGGAGGATCCCTTGAGCCCAGGTGTTAGAGGCTACAGTGAGCTATGATAATGCCACTGCACTCCAGCCTGAGTGACCGAGTGAGACCCTCTGAAAAAAAAATAAAGTGTGTATTAGGAATTAGAAATAACAGCCTGATATACCTTTAGTATATTCTTTTTTTAAAAACATTTTTATTTTTATGGGTCCATAGTAGGTATATATATTTATGAGGTATTTGAGATATTTTGATATAGGCATACAGTACATAATAATCACATCAGGGTAAATGGACTATCCATTGCTTCAAGCATTTGTCATTTCTTTGTGTTACAAACATTCCAGTTAGACTCCTTTACTTATTGTTAAATGAACAATAAATTATTTTTGACTGTGGTCACTCTGTTGTGCTATCAAATACTACATATTATTCATTCTAACTATTTAGTTGGACCCCTTAATCATCTCTACTCCCTACCCCCATCTACTACCCTTCCTAGACTCTGGTAACCATCATTCTACTCTATCTCCATGAGTTCAATTGTTTTAATTTTTAGCTCCCACATATGAGCGAGAACATTGTGAAGTTTTGTCTTTCTGTGCCTGGCTTATTTCACGTAACATAATGTCCTTCAGTTCCATCCATGTTGTTGCAATTGACAGGATCTCATTCTTTGTATCCATTGTGTATATATGTATCACATTTTCTTTATCCATTCATCTGTTGATGGGACACTTAGGTTCATTCCAAATCTTGCCTATTGTGAATAGTCGTGCAGTAAACACTGGATTGTAGATATCTCTTTGATAGACTTTCATTCTTTTGGCTATGTATCTTAGTATATTCTTGATTGTATGGGTTTTAGTAGTAGAGTGCTAGATACCATTAAAACTTTTCAGATCATTTAAAATTTTAAATTTGCTGTTGCAGGGTAGTAGCTCTTGCTTAGTATCACATAATTAGATTTATTAGATATCTGTGCTCCGCAAAAGATTTTTTTTTCAATATACAAGATTAGCTTTTAATTTTTTTCTGGAAAAAAATTGTAAAATCTTATTTAACAGTATGAGAAGAATAGTAGTTTTTGTTTTTTTCTTTCCCTTGGTACTCTATGGATTCTGTCTTGAGAGCTTTTAGTAGTGAGCTAGCATATTATATAAACTCCCAGGCTTCAGCTGCTTGGGCCCTATATTTAGTTCACTTGCTAGTAAATGACTTCACTTCATTTGGGTCCTGCATTATTCTGCATATCAGAATTACCTCATTTTCTTTATTTGAAATCTTTTTCCACTAGAGTTAAAAAAAAAAGTCTTTTTTTTTTTTAATACTTGAGAATGTCTGTCGGTTTACTAAATCTTTCAAGGGAATGAAGGAAATCCTTTAAAAAGCAATCTAAAATGCTGAATATTTTATGATACTGGTTTCTAGCATTAGGCCTTTGCACAAATACTAGCCTTTGTATTAGGAATGAACAAATCTATGAATAATTGCTAAATACAGTTAGTAGTTTCTAATTTGTGTTTATATATAAATTTCAGGTAAATAATTTACCCGACGTTCAGAAGCTATACAATTGCTATGCTAAATTACAGGCTCTGGGTTTAGAGTGAAAAATAAGAGGCTCTTATTTGTAAACAAAGACTAGTGCAGGCATTTTGGTTGATGTTGCCTCGATAAAAAACTAAAAATAGATTTTATGTCATTTAGATCCAAGAGTTAGAAGAGTTAGTAAGTATTCAGGTATATCAGTGAAAATATATTGTAGTCCTTAATCAGGTACTGTTTTAATATCTAGTGTAATTTTGCATGAAAATGGCAGATACCACTACTCTGTTTAAGTATTTGTTTGTACTTTATTTGGGACCCTGCCAATTCTGGCCTAGTTTATGACTAGGTTACTTATAAATCTGATAAGGCAGTAAGCTAAAGTGTCTTATACTTGATTTTTCAATTTTTGTTAAAATATTTTTTATTTCATAAATGAAAGCAGGAAGTGGAAACTAACCAAATTAAATATTTTTGAGCAAAGCACAGTAGGAATGCACATATCCTGATTTCTGAGGTAAACGATTTGTGTTTAAACTCAGGTTTATGTGTATTCTATTTCTTTGTGCAACACAGAAGTGTAGTAGGGATATCTTAAAATAGACAGGGGACAGTGGCCAGAAATTGTTGACTACTATAGATGGTGAGGCTGTCTAACTCTTGCAGTGATACAAGCCAGAAGTACGTGCTAAGGGCATTGATTTGCTTAAGGTCAGCATGTTCTAAATTGAGCTGCTTGAGTATGGTTTCTGTCAAGAACACGTAGGGCTCTTAAACGTGTAAAAGGCTTTAGCGGCAGAAGGTGCTGTATTTATGAGGTGTGGTGGCAACATTTAGGTCATGAATTTCTTTTTCTTTTTCTTTCTTTCTTTTTAAATATAGAATTTTAGCCTGCGATTCTAAGTCATTTCAGAACACAGAGACAGGAAAGTGGGCTGTAAAAATAACCTGTGTAGCAGTTATATTCTTTGCTACTCTACTGAGTAATTTAGCATTAATTGCTGTTGAGTTTTAAAAAATGCTATTTTGCATGTAATAGTTAACAAAAAGGTATGTAATGATAAACAGTTAATTTAGACATATTTGTTCTTTCATGGCATTCTTACCTCTCATGCCTTCTTAGATCCAGAAGTATCAAAGTTTCTGTAACAAAATTAAGCTACATAGGAAGACCCGTAAAATAACGGCTAATATTTTACATAGGGTACTTTATGATGAAACACCGTGTATGTATAATGCATCATTTTTTCAAAGTGCCTTTCGTTATATTTTCTAGTTTGTTTCTCACTTCTCTATGGGGTAGTTAAGACTGGGTGGCATTATTCTTTGATAAGGAGAAAACTGGGACTTATGTAAGTCAGACAGGTTCAAATTCACACTGTAAGTTTAACTTTACAAATTTTGTTAGGCCTTTTTGGGTGCTGGTACAGTGCTAGGTGCTAAGAATACAAAGGTGATTTATGTATGTTCATTAATTTATTTGATTAATGATTTCATCATTTAATGGAGGGGAAAAATAGTTTGCTTCAAGAAATGCCAGGGTGGAGAGGTGTGTGCAGGGTGATATAGGAACCCAAAGGAGGGCTCCGAGCCTGATCTGAGGGGCAGGGAAGGCTTCTAGGGGAGCGATGACCCCAGAATGACCCTTGAGAGCACAGCAGAGAAGGAGCCAGGGTTGACTGGTCTTGAGCATTTTCTCTCACTAAGCCACTCTTAACCTAAAAAAGCTCAGCATTGGGATGAAATTGCTGGTGATTTCTTTTGTATATCATAAAGTAGTTGTTTGGGAACCTTTATTAGACAAATACAAGATTGTCAATTGAGTTTAGTTTTAATAGAAGATTAGGAAATTCTAAAATGAAATGGTTTTCTTTTTTTTAAGATGGAGTCTCGCTCTGTTGCCCAGGCTGGAGTGCAGTGGCACAATCTCTGCTTACTGCAAGCTCCGCGTCCCGGGTTCACGCCATTCTCCTGCCTCAGCTTCCCGAGTAACTGGGACTACAGGCGCCCGCCACCACGCCTGGCTAATTTGTTTTGTATTTTTGGTAGAGACGGGATTTCACCGTGTTAGCCAGGATGGTCTCGATCTCCTGACCTTGTGATCCACCCGCCTCAGCTTCCCAAAGTGCTGGGATTACAGGCGTGAGCCACCGCTCCCGGCCAAATGAAATGGTTTTCAGCGCCATACCTGTGGCTGCAAATGTGTAGTACTTTACTACATAAAGGACTTTACATAGACACAGATAGTCGACTACATATATCGGGCCTTCTATTAAAAATTCTAGCAGAGCTCTTAAGTTTTTTTGTTTTGTTTTTGTTTTTAAAAACAGCTTTATTGAGATATAATCTACATACCTTGAAATTCATTCATTTAAGTATACAATTTAATGGCTTTTAGTATATTTATAGTTGTGCCATCATCAGCACAATCAATTAAAATTTTAAGTTTAAAATTTTTTTGGCCAAATTATTTCTCACCTGACACAATTTTTGAATATTTACATTACCCTCAAAAGAAGCCCGTGTGCCTTTTAGCCATTGTTCCCCAGTCTGCCCATCACCCCCAGCCCTAAGCAACCACTAATCTACTTGCTGCCTGTGTAGATCATCTATTCTGGACATGTCATATACATGTAACCATACAATATATGGTCCTTTTCGACTGAGTTTTTTTTTCACTTAACATAATATTTTCAAGGTTCATCCATGTTGTAGGATGTATCAATACTTACTACTTTTTATTACCAAATAATAAACCATTGTGTAGATATATACCACATTTTACGTATACATTCATCAGTAGAATGTATTAAAATTGTGTCAATGAAAAGATATGTGAATAGAAACTGTAATATGGTCCAAGATTAAATATCAAAATACTTTAGTGCCTCTAAAATGTAAAGTGTGGTGCTTGGTGCTGCTTGTACAGGAGGAGAACAAAATGAGTCTCTGCTTTTATGGTGTTTGCAATCTAATGGGTAGACAAAGAACAAAAAAAAGTAGTTGGAGAGGCTGAGTGCCGTGGCTCACACCTGTAATCCCAGCACTTTGGGAGGCCGAGGCAGGTGGATCGCCTGAGGTCAGGAGTTCGAGTCCAGCCTGGCGAGCATGGTCAAACCCCGTCTCTACTAAAAATGCAAAAATTGGCCGGGCATGGTGGCAGGCACGTGTCAGGAAGCTGAGGCAGGAGAATCGTTTGAACCCGGGAGGCGGAGGTTGCACCAAGCCAAGATCGCGCCATTGCACTCCAGCCTGGGCAACAGAGCGAGACTCCATCTGAAAAAGAAAAAAAAAAAAACGTAGTTGGAGCAAGGAGAGAGAACAAGAGAAGTTTAAACTTTTTTAGTTCCTTTTTTTTCTTTAACTTTTACATTGAAATTATCTTCAACATACAAAATAAGTAAATTTAGGCATACGAAAAAAGTTGTAAAAAATAGTACAAAGGATTCCTGTTATCCTTCATGCAGATTCCCCAGTGTTTCACGTTAGTGTTTGACCACCCTAGTTTTATCAATCATTCTCTCTTTACACACCCACACACCCACCCTCACCTACCCACCCACCTACCTTTTCCTACAGGGTGTGATACGAAGTTGCTTTACCTCTAAATGCTTCAGTGTACATTTCCTAAACATAAGGACATTCTCTTGCATAACTTCAGTACAATTATCAAAATCGTCATCAGTTAACATCAGTTCAATATTATTGATTTGATGAACTGTTTAAACTATTTTTTTTTCTTTTCTTAAAGACAAGGTCTTGCTTTGTGGCCCAGGCTGGAGTGCAAT
Source organism: Homo sapiens (assembly GCF_000001405.40). Classification (NCBI taxonomy): domain Eukaryota; kingdom Metazoa; phylum Chordata; class Mammalia; order Primates; family Hominidae; genus Homo; species Homo sapiens. The sequence goes on from NC_000011.10 coordinate 33,294,663, forward strand.
GGTGCAGTCATAGCTCACTGCAGTGTCAGACTCCTGGGCACAAGCAATCCTTCTGCCTCACACCTCCTGAGTAGCTGGGACTGCAGTCATCAGCCACCCAGCTCATGAATGCAATTTGGTTTTGAGGAAATTAAAATCAACTCAATACTGTTAGCTAATTTACTGACTTTATTTAGATTTTGCCAACTGTCCCACTAATGGACCTTTTTTTCTCGTGCAGAATTCAGTCCTTCATCACATGTTTACATTATTTGCCCTGTCTCATTAGTGTCCTCTAATCTGGTGATATATCATAATGATGTCATTCTCATGTCTCAAAATGGAGTCACTCATGTCAAGTAGCATTGAGCTCACAGCAAAGTCGCCCCTTCCCCCCCAGCGATAAACATATGTAATGGACTGCTGTGACAACATCTGCCCTCACCGGGTACCACCTGAGACTTGAAACGAACCCGTAGAAAGTGAAAGGTGGCTGAGATAATGAGAATAGACCCATTTGGGAGGATCATAAAATGTGCCAGGACGAGACGCTTTTAGAGGCTGTGCCCAGGAGACCTCTGAAGCTTCCTCCCGATTTGGCATCTGCTGCCACCTGGAGAGAAGCAGCCACCACCGCCCCCCCCCCACAACTCCACCCCATCCCCGCCCATGGCATCCGAAGGACTTCGGGACTGTTCGGCTCATCTGTTTGCCTGTTGGTCTCCCTAGCCAGGGTTGTGCTTTGTTCCCCACAACCCCCTTTTCTTCTGCCTCTGTGTTGAATATTGGTTGTGTGATTGGTTGGCTGTGGAGGCCTCGCAATAAAACGTGAATTCAAGCTTATGTTGCGTCGTTATGAAACCTTCGGGCGTAGGCTCCGCCTGTGGTCGGAGTCAGCGCACCTGCGCAGAACCTCGTTCACATAGTACCCAGGTTAAGGCCCGACAGCTGCAGCAGCTCCTTACATCTTTCTTTGCCTTCATGCCTCTGACACTTTTGAAGCGTACTGGCCAGTTATTTTGTAGACTGTTCCTCAGTTTGCTTATGGCTGATGTTTTCTCACGATTAGATTCAGGTTTTGCACTTTTGGCAGGAACTTCACAGAACTGATGTTGTGTCCACACATATTGAGAGGCGCATGATGTCAATTTGTCCCATTATTGGTAAGGCGAACTTTGATCACTTGGTTGAGGTGGTGTAACTGCCAGGTTTTTATCACTATAAAGTTACCATTTTTTTCTTTGTAATTAATAAGTACAATATCTTGTGGAGAGATACTTTGAGACTATTCACACGTACTATTTCTTATCTTGTATTCACTGACCAATTTTAGCATTGTTGATGAGTTTGGCCTTAACTGAGGTTTGCCAAATGGTTTTCTAATTCTGTAGTTCCTCTATTAGGAATTCTTCCACAAGAAGAGCTTTTTTTCCCCCTCCCTTCCTTTCTTTCAGTATGGACTCATAGATTTTTGTTTAATTCAATGGGTTGTAAATATCACTCATCATTCTTTGTTTTGTTCAGTAAATTATCCCAGATGGTTCAGAGAGAGCATCTTTCTTTAGGCTTTTTCCAGTGTCCCTGTGGTATGGCCGCATCCTTTCTTCAGGGTTTACTTTCTGGCACCACAGATGTTCTGACTTACCTTGTGCTTTTTCTGTCCAGCCCTTGGATTGGACCTCTAAGGAGCACTTGTTCCTTTTATTGGAGAATGGCTTTTGGAAAACAGGACCTGGACACAGGTCAGGTATGCTCAGTGGTTCTAGGATATTACTTCTTTTAGGTCTTTTGAGTGGCAAAGTTAGAAAATATAGAAGCATACCTTGTTTTCTTGTTTTGCTTTATTGCATTTCACATATACATGCTTTTTACAAATTGAAGGTTTGTGGCAACCTTGTGTCAGGTCTGTTGGTGCCATTTTCTCAACAGCATGCGCTCATTTTATGTCACTTTTTGGTAATTAATGATATTTCAAACTTTATTATTATTTGTTACAATGATCTTTGAACAGTAGTCTTTGATGTTACTATTATAATCGTTTTGGGGCACCACAGACTGTGCCTATATAAGATGGTGAACGTAATAAATGTGTGAGCTCCGACTGCTCTAACAACCAGCTGATCCTTGGTCTCTCCTTCTCCTCTGGCCTCCCTATTACCTGAGACACAACAATATTGAAAGTAGGCCAGTTAGTAACCCTGCAGTGGCCTCTCAGTGTTCTAAGAGAAAGGAAGATCTCATGTCTCTTGCTTTAAATCAAAAGCTAGAAATGATTAAGTTTAGCGAGGAAGGCGTGTGGAAAGCCAAGGCAGGCTGAAAGCTAGGCCTATTGTGGCAAACAGTCAAGTGGCGAATACAAAGGAAAAGTTCTGAAGGAAATTAAAAGTGCTACTCCAGTGAGTAGTAAATGGTAAAAAAGCAAAACAGTGTTATTGCTGATATGGAAAAGATTTTTTTTTTTTTTTTTTGAGATGGAGTCTCTCACCCTGTTGCCTAGGCTGGAGTGCAGTGGCACAATCTTGGCTCACTGCAACCTCTGCCTTCTGGGTTGGATCAATTCTCCTGCCTCAGCCTCCCGAGTAGCTGGGATTACAGGTGCACACCACCACGCCTGGCTAATTTTTGTATTTTTAGTAGAGACGGGGCTTCGCCATGTTGGCCAGGCTGGTCTTGAACCCTTGACCTCAGGGGATCCACCCAACTTGGCCTCCCAGAGAGCTGGGATTACAGATGTGAGCCACCGCGCCCTGCTGGAAGAGATTTTTGTGGTCTGGATAAGTGATCAAATTAGTCACAACATTCCCTTAAGCCAAACTCTAAGCCAGAGCCAGGCCTTAACTCTCTTCAATTCTATGAAAGTGCAGAAAGGTGAGGAAGCTGCAGAAGAAAAGATGGAAACTAGCAGAGGTTGATTCATGAGGTTTAAGGAAAGAAGCCTCTCCATAACATAAAAGTGCAAGGTGAAGCAGCAAGGGCTGATGCAGAAGATCTAGCTGAGATCATTGGTAAAGGTGGCTACACTACACAACAGATTTTTAATGTAGATGAAACAGCTTTATATTGTAAGATGATACCATCTAGGACTTTCATAGCTAGAGAGAAGTCAATGCCTGGCTTCAGAACTTCAAAGAACAGGCTTTTTTTTTTTTTTTTTTTTTTTTTTCTTGAGATGGAGTCTTGCTCTGTCACCCAGGCTGGAGTGCAGTGGTGTGATCCTGGCTCATTGCAACCTCTACCTGCCAGGTTCAAGCGATTCTCCTACCTCAGCCTCCCGAGTAGCTGGGATTACAGGGGCGCACTACCATGCCTAGCTAATTTTTGTATTTTAGTAGAGACAGGGTTTCACCATGTTGGCCAGGCTGGTCTTGAACTCCTGACCTCAAGTGATCCTCCCTCCTTGGCCTCCCAAAGTGCTGGGATTAACAGGTGTGAGCCACCGCACCCAGCCAGAACAGGCTAGCTTTGTTGGGATAATGCAGCTGGTGACTTTAAGTTGTGGCCAATGCTCACTTACCATTCTGAAAATCCCAGAGCCCTTTAGAATTACGCCAAATCGACTCTGCCTCGACTCTGCCTATGTTCTAGAAATGGAATACCAAAGCCTGGATTAGAGCATATCTATTTACAGCATGGTTTACTGAATATTTTAAGCATGCTGTTGAGACCTACTGCTCAGAGAAAAATATTTCAAAATATTTATTACTACACATTAACAAGGCACCTGGTTACCCAAGAGCTCTGATGGAGATATATAGGGAGAATAATATTGTTTTCATGTTTGCTAACACAACATCCATTCTGCAGTCCCTGCATGCATCAGGGAGTCATTTTTACTTTCAAGTCTCATTCTTTAAGAAATATGTTTGGTAAGGCCATAGCTGCTATAGATAGTAATTCCTCTGATGCATCTGGGCAAAGTAAATTGAAAACCTTCTGGAAAGGATTTATTGTTGTAGATGCCATTAAGAGCATTCATGATTCATGGCAGCATTAACAGGAATTTGGAAGAAGTTGATTCCAACCCTCATGGATGACTTCGAGGGGTTCAAGACTTCAGTCTTGAGGAGGTAACTGCAGATATGGTGGAAATAGCAAGAGAACTATTAGTAGAATTAGAAGTGGAGTTAGTAGAATTAGAAGTGGAGTCTGAAGATGGGACTGACTTGCTGCAATCTGACGATTAAACTTGACCTATTGACAAGTTGCTTCTTTTTGTTTGTTTGTTTTGAGATGGAGTCTGTGTTGCCCAGGCTGGAGTGCAGTGGTGCAATCTTGGCTCATTTCAACCTCCACCTCCTGGGTTCAGGCAATTCTCCTGCCTCAGCCTCCCAAGTAGCTGGAATTACAGGTGCCTGCCACCATGCCTGGCTAATTTTTGTATTTTTAGTAGAGACTGGGTTTTACCATGTTGGCCAGGCTGGTCTTGAACCCCTGACCTCAAGTGATCTACCTGCCTCGGCCTCCCAAAGTGCTGGGATTACAGGTGTGAGCCACTGTGCCTGGCCTAGACGAGTTGCTTCTTTTGGATGAGCAAAGAAAGTGGTTTCTTGGGCCGGGCGCGGTGGCTCACGCCTGTAATCCTAGCACTTTGGGAGGTCGAGGCAGGTGGATCACGAGGTCAGGAGTTCAAGACCAGATTGACCAATATGGTGAAACCCTGTCTCTACTAAAAATGCAAAAATTAGCCGGGCACAGTGGCAGGTGCCTGTAATCTCAGCTACTCGGGAGGCTGAGGCAGGAGAATCGCTGGAACCTGGGTGGCAGAGGTTGCAGTGAGCCGAGATCATGCCACTGCAATTCCAGCCTGGGCTGCAGAACGAGACTCTGTCTCAAAAAAAAAAGAAAAGAAAGTGGTTTCTTGAGATGGAATCTAATGCTGGTGGAGATGCTGTGAACAATTGAAATGATAGCAAAGGATTTAGACTATTATATCAACTTAGTTGATAAAGCCAGCAGCAAGGTTTGAGAGGATTGGCTCCAATTTTGAAAGAAGTTCTCCTGTGGGTAAAACATCATTAAATAGCATCGCGTTCTACAGAGAAGTCTTTCATGAAAGAGCAAATCAATGTGGCAAACTTTACTATAGTCTTTGAGACATCGTTGGCCAGGTGCAGTGGCTCACGCCTGTTATCCTAGCACTTTGGGAGGCTGAGGTGGGAGGATCATGAAGTCAGGAGTTCCAGACCAGCCTGGGCAATGTGGTGGGACCTCATCTCTACAAAAACACAAAAATTAGCTGAGCTTGGTGGTGTGTGTCTGTAGTCGTAGCTTCTTGGATGCTGAGGTGGGAGGATTGCTTGTGCCTGGGAGGCAGAGGTTGCGGTGAGCAGAGACTGTGCCACTGCACTCAAGTCTGGGTGACAGAGTGAGACCCTGTCTCAAAAAAAAAAAAAAAAAAAAAAAGAAAGAAAGAAAAGAGGCCAGGCACGGCGGCTCATGCCTATAATCCCAGCACTTTGGGAGGCTGAGGCGGGCAGATCACAAGGTCAGGAGTTCGAGACCAGCCTGGCCAACATGGCGAAACCCTGTCTCTACTTCTACTAAAAATACAAAAATTAGCTGGGCGTGATGGCAGGTGCTTGTAATCCCAGCTACTCGGAAGGCTGAGGCAGGAGAATCGCTTGAACCTGGGAGGCGGAGGTTGCGGTGAGCTGAGAGATCTTGCCAGTGCACTCCAGCCTGGGTGACAAGAGCAAGACTCCATCGCAAAAAAAAAAAAAGAACTTGCAGCCATTTTAACCTTCAGCAACCACCATCCTGATTGGTCAGCAGCCATCAACATTAAGGTGAGACCCTCCACCAGCCAACCAGCCAAAGTATTACAACTGAAGGTTCAGATTCCTGTTAGCATTTTTTAGCTATCAAGTATTTTTAAATTAAGAGCTATACATTTTTTTAGACATAATGCTGTTGCACACTTAATAGACTACAGTATAATGTAAACATAACTTTTATATGTACTGGGAAACCAAAAAATTTGTGTGACTCACCTTATTGGGGTATTTGCTTTATTGTGGTGGTCTGGAACCAAACCTGCAATATCTCTGAGGTATTCCTGTATGTTGATATATTTGTGGGTGTTTATGTGTGTAGTATTTTTTTGTTTTGTTTTTTTGAGAGTCTCACTCAGTCACCCAGACTGGAGTACAGTGACATGATCTTGGCTTACTGCAACCTCCACCCCGCCGGGCTCATATGACCCTCTCACCTCAGCCTCCTGAGTAGCTGGGACTTCAGGTGCATTCTACCATGCCTGTCTAATTTTTGTATTGTTTTGTAGAGACAGGGTTTTGCCATGTTGCCAAGGGTGAGCTGAAGCAATCTGCCAGTGTTGGTCTCCCAAAGTGCTACAATTACCACACCCGGTTTTATGTGTATATTTCTATGTCTATCTGTTTGTATATTAAAATCATAAATTCATGCTGATATGTCCAATTTTGATACCTGAGAGTTTGTTCTTTCTTATGTGTAATCCCTCATTTGACACCAAGAAACTGACTCTCATTAGCCACAATATGTTACTTATTTGCTCAATTTTGGAATACATTTAAAGGAGTTTTAGAATTGTTCACCCCTGCCACTCCTAATTTAGTAACCAGAGTACAACATGTATTTGCAGCTCTTTTATTCTTTAGCCTGAGACTTGGAGTATGTAGTCAAAATACTGTGTTCCAAAGTTACTTAGGTTAGTTCCTCCCCAAACTCCTTCTCTCCCACCTTCAGTGTGATTATGTTATTATTTTTGAAATACAGTTAAGTTTATTTGTTTCTGTTTGTATTCCATTTTGGGTCTCCCATGTCCTTGTTGATTGATTGATTTCACCATGTGCAAAATTAACATGTTTCTAAAAATCAGAACTAAGGGTGAGGTATAGTGTCTAATGCCTGTAATCCCAGCACTTTGGTAGGCCAAAGAGGATTGCCTGAGCCCAGGAGTTCAAGACCAGCCTGGGTAACATATTGGGACCCCATCTCTATAAAAAAAAAAAAAAAAAACTTGGGCATGGTGGAGCACACCTGTAATCTCAGCTACCTGGGAGGCTGAGGTGTGAGGATCTACCTGTCAGCTATCTGGGATGCTGAGGTGGGAGGATTACTTGAGCCCAGGAAATCAAGGCTGCAGTGAACTGTGATTGTGTCACTGTACTCCAGCCTGGGCAACAGAGTGAAACCCTGTCTGACACACACACACACACACACACACACACACACACGAGTACAGTACAGTACCTTGCTTAGAATATTGTCCTTGGGCTCTGTGCCATGAGAATATATTTTAGATAGGTCTCTTAAGTACTTTTATATGTACTGGGAAACCAAAAATTTGTGTGACTCAGGAGACCTGTACAGTACCTAAGGAATGAAACTCCTTAGAGGGAGAGGGAGAAGCAATACTACTACTTTACCATGTACTAAATTCTATTCATTTGGAAACAGCATTGTAATCAATCTAGATATCTAAAGTGTTAGATCCTGTGAAGGTTATCTAGAATCCCTTTCAGTTCCAGAATTCTATGATTCCTGTGTGCCTAGACACTTGTAACTTCTAGGTTCCTTCCTTCCCAATTTTTCCTAACTGCCCTCCATTCCTTCCTGAAATGAAAAATGGTATCATGTTTCACATCTAATCATTTTCCTACATTTTAATGAATCCTTACTTGATTCTCTCCAATGAACTTCTCTATGATAATTCCTTACTTCTTTTTTTTTTTTTTGAGAAGGAGTCTGACTGTTTCCCAGGCTGGGGTGCAGTGGCACAATGCCTACTCACTGCAACCTTCGCCTCCCTGGTTCAAATGATTCTCCTGCCTCAGCCTCCCAAATAGCTGGAATTAGAGGCACCTGCCATCACACCTGGCTAATTTTTGTATTTTTAGTAGAGAAGAGGTTTCACCATGTGGCCAGGGTGGTCTCGAACTCCTGACCTCAAGTGGTCCACCCACCTTGGCCTCCCAAGTGCTGGGATTACAGGCATGGGTCACTGTGCCTGGCCACTTATTTGTTGTTATATAATGGTAAACCAGTGCGTTTGATTCAATAAGTGATTTCAATAATATGAAGAAGATAAGAATAATAATATAATCAAATTTGCATAGAACGAGTGGACCAGGAGCTGTTAATTTTAATCTTAATGCTATTACTGATTTTTATATGTGACTTTTGAGGCTACTTAATTTTATATGTTTGTACATTAATGAGTTAAAGTATGTATTTCTATCCTCTTTCCTTAGGTGTGACATTAGATTGTAAGACAGTAATACATAGATGTTAAAGAATACTAGTTAGGCATAGGGCAAAAACATTTTTAAAGGCTTGGTCACAAAGTGAGTTTATTTAATTCTGTACACTGTAGCTGTAAAATATGTAGTAAATGTAATACCATGCAAACCAGTCTGATCTGTCATTTCATATCAGGTTTTAATGACTGTATTTAAGAATTGTTTATACCCATTAGATGTGGTTGTCCCTTGATATCTGAGGGATTGGTTCCAGGACCCCCCACGGACATCAAAATCCACAGACACTCAAGTCCCTTATATAAAATGGCATAGTATTTCCACGTAACCTATGCACTGCCTCCTGTATACTTTAATCTCTAGATTACTTATTATAATGCCTAATACAATGTAAATACTTTGTAAACAGTTATTATACTGTATTGTTTAGGGAATATTTACAAGGAAAAAAAGTCTGTACGTGTTCTGTACAGATATGATCGTCTGTTTTTTAATCTGTGGTTGGTTAAGACCATGAGTGTAGAAACTGCAGGTACAGAAGGCTGACTGTAGTTACTCGTAGGTTAAAAGAAGACTTTAGTGGTGGTTTTAAAATTTTTGGAATAAAAGCCTTTAATGTCAAAGGTTATTAGTTTTTTTTCCTTGTGCTATATATGTAGCTTTGTTTTAAAAGTGCATATAGCTTCATGAATGTACTATGTCAATAGAATGTAATGGTATCATGGATTAGATGTCCTTCCCGACCTCACACACTTCAAAATGTGTGTACCTATTTGTTCTGAGTCTTCAGCATTTTCCTGTGAATGGAATTCAGCACGCTGAATGTTATTAACAGCATGTGTGCCACCATGAAAGAGTGCCAGTTCAGTGGCCAGTGAATAATTTAGGCATCAGCTGGTGTGGCAAGATTGTATTACTTAGGACAGAGAATCTAATATGTGCTAAACTTTGACATTAAAAGGAACAAACATTTCTTTCGTGAGAAAACATTGCATTACAAAGAATGTCGTGTATATCTAAAAACCAATATACTAAATTAAAAATTATTTGATATATATGTGTATATATATATATTATGTTTTTGAAATGGAGTCTCTCTGTCACCAGGCTGGAGTGCAGTGGCACCATCTTGGCTCACTGCAATCTCCGCCTCCCAGGTTCATGCGATTCCTCTGCCTCAGCCTCCCAAGTAGCTGGGACTACAGGCGTGCACCAGCACGTCCAGCTAATTTTTTGTATTTTAGTAGAGACGGGGTGTCACCATGTTGGCTAGGATGGTCTCCATCTCCTGACCTCGTGATCTACCCACCTTGGCCTTCCAAAGTGCTGGGATTATGGGTGTGAGCCACTGCACCTGGCCAATTAAATATTTTTTAAATTAAAAAAGTAATGGAAGCGGGCAGGCGCAGTGGCTCATGCCTGTAATCCCAGCACTTTGGGAAGCCGAGGCGGGTGAATCACCTGAATTCGGGACTTCGAGACCAACCTGACGAACATGGAGAAACCCCGTCTCTACTAAAAATACAAAATTAGCTGGGCTTGGTGGCGCATGCCTGTAATCCCAGCTACTCGGGAGGTTGAGGCAAGAGAATTGCCTGAACCCAGGAGGCGGAGGTTGCGGAGAGCCGAGATCATGCCATTGCACTCCAGCCTGGGCAACAGGAGCAAAACTCCATTTCAAAAAAAAAAAAAGAGGTAATGGAAGCTCTGTCAGACAAAATTTGATAATAGAGAAAGGACATGAAGTAGGGACAATTTCTCCTTTTATATTGTGGCTGTATTTTATAATTTTACAAAATACATATTATGCTTCATTTAACCAGTCCTCAATGATACACATTCAGTTTTTTGATTATGTCAGAGAGAACCTTCTTCTGTGTCTATGGATACTTGTAGGCACATTTTCATAACATATTTCTAGAGGGAGAATTGTTAGGTCAAAGCATATGTACCTTTTGACCTTTTGCTCATGGACGCTGCCGGATTTCCTTCAGAAATAAGCTAGTCTGGTTTATCATCTCATCAGTAGTGTGAAAATGCTCTTTTCTTCACATTCTTATCATGACAAGGATATTTCTGGTCTTTCACATTATTGGCTTTGAATAGGCAAAAACCAAAACTTTTTTTATTTTTGTTTTTTGAGACAGAGTCTTGCTCTGTCGCCCAGGCTGGAGTACAGTGGCACAATCTTGGCTCATTGCAGCCTCTGCCCGCCGAGTTCAGATGATTCTCCTGCTTCAGCTTCCCAAGTAGCTGGGATTACAGGCTTGCGCCACCATGCCTGACCAACTTTTGTATTTTTTGGTAGAGGCAGGGTTTCACCACGTTGGCCAGGTTGGTCTCGAACTCCTGACCTTAAGTGATCTGCCTGCCTCAGCCTCCCAAAGTGCTGGGATTATAGGCTTGACCCACCATGCCTGGCCTTTTTTTAATTTTAATTTTTCACTACTCTGTATTACCTTGAAATAAGTTTTAGGTCTGTTTTCTCTTTCATATGTTATTAAGGTAGATGCTCTTATATGAGGAATAAGAATCTAAAAGTAAACAGTTCATGAAATAATGATATTTACTGACTGCTTAGGTTCAGCCGCTGTGCTAGAAACTTTGCATAATTACCCTTTACTCTGACACCAACCATAATAGATGATAATACTATCTTCATTTTACAAATAGGGACATTGAGATTCAGATATGCTAAGCAGGTTGTCCAGTGGTGCACAGCTAATAAACTGCAGAGCTATGATTTGAGCTCAGTTGTGGATCTCTATTTCCCACAATCCTTCTCCAAGGATTTTCTCTCATCTTCCTGAAAATCTCTCGAAGACACTGATGAGTTATTTGTTAATCACCAAATCTGGTGGATTTTTTGTTTGTTTGTTTTTTAAGTCCTCATCTGTTTGGACCTTTATCATTCAGCACAGTTAGTGTATATTTTATTGAAACTTTCTTTCCTGGCTTCCTAAACAATTTTTTTATTTTTTTTTTGGAGACAGAGTCTCACTGTGTCATCCAGGCTGGAGTGTAGTGGTGTGATCATGGCTCACTGCAGCTATATGTTGCCCAGGCTGCTGTTGGACTCCTGGGCTCAAGCGTTCCTCTTGCCTCAGCCTCCTGAGTAGTTGGGACTACAGGTGGGCATGCTACTGTACCCGGCTGGAAGCACATAACTTTAAAGCTGAAGATATTTTAGAAAACATTTACATAGACATTTCGTCTAACTTAATTTATAGAAGAGGCAACTGAAATCTAATATACTTAAATGAGAATTGGTATATCAACATTTATAGATAACTCTTTTACTTAATTTTTACGTGTATGTTATAGGAATGTATTTGATTTTGAGTAATAGTAAAATGAAAATAAAATTATACTTCTAATCTAAGGAAAGCATTCATTGTAAATGGTTAAATATAATTATAGAAATTGTCAATTTGTGATTGTAAAAACAGGATACCATTTTCAAACAAAATACTTAGAAAAAATAAATTCATTGAGGGAATTTTTGCTTGTAATATGGTTTTGAAGCTGTCTAATATGACAGAAATATGTGTTTAAATTTATTAAAGATTTTACTTGCTCTAAATTGCTTTTTTTTAAAAAAAATTAAGTCATAAAACCATGAAACAATATACTTATGTCTGATAGTCCTAAATATTAAGTAACTAATTATATTTCCGTATTTATTCACAGGCTTATAATTTTAGTTCTGCCACTTATTGTGTCACCCTGAGCAAGTTGTTTGACCTTTCTTGGCCTCAGTTTAGTCATCTGTAATATAATGATGATAGTAACTACCTCACAGGTTGTTGTGAAGGTTAAACTCCATAATGTATATAAAGTATTTAATACAGTCTTAGGACATTGTGTACATTTTATAGGTAGAAGCTATTAAAGTGGCATGGTTTAAAAGAAAATTATACAGTAGTAATGATATGATGATAGGGAGTCTCCCATAGTTGTTTCCTGGCAGCCTGCTTTTGGTATTATGTGCTGCTGTTGCTTTTCAGGGAAGAATCTTTGAAAGAAGTGGCTTTGTATGAATAATGATAGATGCATCCACTTTTTTTTTTTTTTTTTTGAGATGGAATCTCACTCTGTCGCCCAGGCTGGAGTCCAGCGGTGCGAACTCAGCTCGCTGCAACCTTGGCCTTTCCAGTTCAAGCACTTCTCCCTTCCTCACATCCCCAGTGGCTGGGATTATAGGCATCCGCCACCATGCCTGGCTAATTTTTGTATTTTCAGTAGAAATGGGGTTTTGCCATGTTGGCCAGGCTGGTGTTGAACTCCTGACCTCAGGTGATCTGCCCGCCTCAGCCTCCCAAAGTGCTGGCATTACAGGTGTGAGCCACCATGCCCGGCCAGATGCATCCATTTTTAAATAAACTATCTTATTGAATTGTAAGATAGTTTAATGTGTACGAATAGTATGTAAACAGCATGGTAAACTTTTATAATATGAACACACTTATATAACCACTACCCAAGTCAAGTGTATTGACTAAATTTGTGTATTTATGAAGTGTTTTTTTTTTTTTTTTGAGACAGAGTCTTGCTCTGTCGCCCAGGCTGGAGTGCAGTGGCGTGATCTCGGTTTATTGCAAGCTCCGCCTCCCAGGTTCACGCCATTCTCCTGCCTTAGCCCCCCGAGTAGCTGGGACTACAGGCGCCTGCCACCACGCCTGGCTAATTTTTTTTTTTTTTGTATTTTTAGTAGAGACGGGGTTTCACCGTGTTAGCCAGGATGGTCTCGATCTCCTGACCTCATGATCCGCCCGCCTCGGCCTCCCAAAGTGCTGGGATTACAGGCGTGAACCACCGTGCCTGGCCTAAAGTGTGTTTTGACTTTATATATGTGCTTGGTTGTTTTATTCTTGTTGGTGTGTGTGTGTGTGTGTGTGTGTGAGTGAGACAGTGAGTGATTTTAAAAGATATTCTCCTTATGAAACTTTTGGGAAAATACCTTCAATTTTATGACTTGCTTTTTCACTCCCCAGGCTGTCTTAGGTGAATACATGGTCTTAATTTTAATAATTTTAATATAGTTTAATATGTTTTTATTTTTGAAAGATTTCCCTTATGATTATGATTGCCATTTGTGTCCTATTTAAGAAGTGTTTACCTTCCCTAAAGTAACTGTGATATTTTCCTGTTTCCTTTTTAAAGCTTTATTCTTTCACCTTTTACATTTTGATTTGCCACCCATCTGGAATTGATTTTTGTGTATGATATGAGGTAGAGATTAAGATGCATTGTTTTCCCCATGTGGCTATCCCTAAACTGAGCACCATTTATTATTCTACTGCATAACAGTGACAGCTGCCATATTCATGAATCAGATGACCTCATATGTGTGGGTCTGTTTTTGGACTCTTTATTCATCATTTTGACTGTTCTTCTGCCTGTGTCAGTGTCATTACCATAACTGATAGTGTAAATCCTCCTGATTGTTCTTCAAGGGCCTATTTTTTTGTCCTTTGCATTCTAGGTGAATTTTATAAACTGTAAATTTCTGCAAAACTATTTTAATTTCAACGTATATTTTCTCCTAAGTATGTTTTGAGAGTTACTTTCTGTCTGCACTTTAATTACATCATTCCATTTAATTCTGCCTTCTATTATTTCCATAGAAAATTGGCTACTTTGATAGCAATATGTCCTTTTCCCCCCTCTGGCTGCATTTAGGGTTTTTCTTTGTCTTTTGTTTAAGCACTTGATCTACAGGTGTGTGCCTAGGGGTGTGTGTGTGTGTGTGTGTGTGTGTGTGAGATTCTGCTTGGGGTTTATAGAGCTTCTTGAATCTCTTAATAGCTTTCCCCAGTTTTGGAAAATTCTCAGGCAGTGTCTCTGCAAGTATTTCTTTTAACTTTTTTTTTTTTTTTAACATTTTCTCTTTCTCCTTTGCTTCTGGCATTTTAGTTCTATATATATAAGACTTTAAAAATGATCTGTATATTTCTGATGTTTTCCCTCCCCTCAATACTTTTTTTATATTTCCTTTTACTGCTTTTCTGTTTCAATCTGTGTATTTTCAGTCTGGCCTATCTTTTAAAAATTCCTCTTCTCACCAATATTTTACTGTAAAACATTAAAAAAATAGTAATAATAAAATAAAAAGGATGGATTTGTGAACAAAAGTTCTCTGAAAAGGAATTTAGAGGAAAGAGGCTTTATTCGAGTGAGCAGTTTGCAAACTAGGAAGGCATAGCCTTCTGTGTAAAAATGAAGATACTTTCCAGAGATCAAAGGGAGGGATTATCTTTTTATTTATTTATTTTTTATTTATTTGCCCAGAGATCACCCTCAACCTGAGGGAGGTATTGTCTTTTATAGAGATCCCACCCAGGTTCCCACTCAAGTCCATTTATGCAAATGGAGGATTAGAACTTGCTCCCTTCTTCCCTCCTTCCCTCCTTTTTGTTAGAGACGGGATCTTGCCATGTTGCCCAGCCTGGCCTCCAACTTGTGGCCTCAAGTGATCCTCCCATGTTGGTCTCCCAAAGTGTTGGGATTACAGGTGTGTCACCACACCCAGCCCAAACTTGCTTAGTTCTGATTGGTTGACTGGTTGGTTCAGGCAGAATATATAGGAACAGGAAGCTATGAAAGTCCCAAAGTTAAACAGACATGTAAGTTTCCCTGGAACTAATAGTAAGTGTGTGACCTCTAATCAGCAAGTGGCTGCTTGACTCTTATTTTTAATTTAGACCCAGTTAGCCACTTAGGATCCATCTTGAAGGATTGGCTCTTTTGGGGTTCAGATTATACAGCAAACACACATACACCCACCACCTGGATTCTACAGTTAACATTTTGCGACATTTGCTTTATCCCATCTTTCCCTCTATCCATTTATCAATCCATTTTTATCTTATGAGGCAATTCAAAGTAAGTTATAGATACCAGTACACTGTACTGCTAAACACTTCAGCATGTGTATCATAAAGTAAAGCTTAATATTTGTTTATGGTTCTTTTTTTGGAGGTAAATTTTATATATGGTGAGATGTACAGGTGGTATTTATAAGTCAAGTTATGAGTAGCCATTTGTTGAATTTGTTTTTTTAAAAAGTAGATTCCAGCTTTCTGCTGAAGTTCTCTGCCATTCCATCCATTTTCTTGCACATTTCTATTGTTATTTTAAAGTCCCTGTTTTAAAATTTCAATAGCTGGATAACTGTGGTGATGCTTCTACCAATATCTTTTCCCCCATTGGTTTTTGGCATTTGATTATATTTCTTGTTAGAATGACAACTTTGTTTTTTAGCATTGGTCCTTGGGTATGAAAAATTCTTGACACGTGCTGTTCAATATGGTAGCCACTAATCACTGTGGCTGGCTGGCTGGCTATCTTTGTCTGTCTGTCTGTCTGTCTGTCTGTCTGTCTGTCTGTCTGTCTGTCTATCTTATCTATCTATCTATCTATCTATCTAATCTATCTATCTATTCTATTGAGGGTCTTGCTGTGTCACCCAGGCTGGCGTACAGTGGCACCATCTTGGCTCACTGTAACTTCCACATCCCAGGTTCAAGTGATTCTCCTGCCTCTCAGCCTCCTGAGTAGCTGGGATTACAGGTGTGCACCACCATGACCCAGCTAATTTTTGTATTTTTAGTAGAGATGGGGTTTTGCTATGTTGGGCAGGCTGGTCTCAAACTCCTGGCCTCAAGTGATTCGCCCAGCTTGGCCTCCCAGAGTACTTGGATTACAGGCATGAGCCACCGTGCCCAGCCTATTTAAGTTTAAATTAATTAAAATTAAATAAAATTTGCAATTAAATTCCTCAGTTACATTAGCCACATCTCAGGTGCCCAATAGCTACATGTGCAGATAGAGATAGTACAAATAGTACAGATAGGAACATTTCCGTTGTTGCGAAAATACGGTAGGACAGCGGTATGCTAGTGAGTCTACATGAAATCTTCCTCCAGAGAAAATGCAGTTTTATGCTGGAAGGCAGATCAAGTAGGTAGATCATGTTATTCTAAGGGAGACCGGTCTGTTTCAGTTTGTCTTTGTTCTAGTAGTTCAGCCCTTTGTGGTTTTGCTTGAAAAGCCTGAGGCATCTGCCAAGGCCCCTCTTCCTTGGTAGGTTCTGAATTCCAGGTTTTGTTTTGCCGGCCCAGTGGGATGGCTGCAGGCTCTTGACTACTACTTTCTGTTCAGCCTCTATGCCTTACTTTGAATTGTTGACTACCTTAAGGATATATAAGGCTCACTTTAGTAAGTTTTCTCTTTACTCTGGGATTTTATTCTCTCAGGTCCTGGCTGTCTTGTCTGTTCTCTGATGACTTTGCGCATTGTTTTTTAAATTGTTTTTTGTTTTTTTGAGATGAAGTCTTGCTTTATGGCCAGGCTAGAGTACAGTGGTAAGATCACAGCTCACCACAGCATTGACCCCCTGGGCTCCAGTGATCCTCGCACCTCAGCCTTCTGAGTGGCTAGGACCACAGGCATGTGCCACTACACCTGACTCATTTTTTCATTTTGTGTAGAGACGAAGTCTTGCAGCCCAGACTGGTCTCAACTGCTGGGCTCAAGTTGTCCTTTAACCTTGGCCTCCCAAAGTGCCAGGATTACAGGTTTCAGCCACCATGCCTGGCCTTTTTTGTTTGTTTGTTTTTCAATAGACTATTTTGTAGAGTAGTTTTAGGTTCGCAGAAAAACTGAGCAGAAAGTACTGAGTTCTGTATACCCCCTGCCTCTGTACACATACAGCCTGCCACTATTGACATCCTGTACCACAGTGTACATTTGTTAGGATTGATAAACCTCCATTGATGCATTGCTATCACGCAAAGTCAGAAAACACACCCTTTTTTGTTTTTGTTTTTAAAGAGTTGAAGTCTTGGCCATATGCAGTGGCATATACCTGTAATCCCAGCACTTTGGGAGGCTGAGGCAGGAGGATCGCTCCAGGAGTTCATGAGCAGCTTGGGCAACATAGCAGGACCCTGTTTCTACACACACACACACACACACACACACACACACTACACACACACACTTGGGCAACATAGCAAGACCCTGTTTCTACACACACACACACACACACACACACTACACACACACACGGGCAACATAGCAAGACCCTGTTTCTACACACACACACACACACACACCACGAAAAAATACAGCTTTTAATTTTTTGTATGTGTGTGTTTTGTAGAGACAGGGTCTTGCTATGTTGCCCAGGATGGTCTTGAACTCCTGGCCTCAAGCTATCCTTCTGCCTCAGCATCTGGAGAAGCTCCAACTACAGATGTGCACCACTGTCTGGCTACACACAGCTATTTTTATGTGTATATTTTTTCTAGCTCTATAGTTGTTCAGTATCCTTCCATTTTCTTTATTAGACAATATAATTCAGTATATTTGAAGGTGCCTTGATGGCTCCTGGCAGTTCTCTAGACTGTTATTTGTTGGGATTACTGGTTTTGATAGGAAATTATGCAGGGTGTGTTATGTGGAAGAGTGCTATATTTTCATGTTCACTTTAATCCCACTCTTCTAGATATAGAAGTTGATTAATTTTGTTGGCTATTCCGTATGATATCAAAAACCTGAGAATTTCATTTAAAATACAGATTAAAATGGAATGTATTTGGGGAGCATTATGTCTCTATATTTTGTGTTCATCGAATACATCTTTAAGGAGTGATTTAAGTTTGTAAAAGACTCTGCCAGGGATTGTATGAAATATACAAATGAGAGACAGTTTCTGATCTTTCCAGTCTTCTTAACAGAGTTGATAAGATACATATATAAATATTGTGAGGACACTTTGTAGAGGGCATATTTTATTTCTAATATGGTTTACAATTTAAATCTTAAGTTTTTGTCTTGCCACTATCATTTATTGACCCTGGGGAAATCACTCAAGCACTCTTAACTTGTGATGCTTTTGGGTTTAAGGGAGACTAGTTATGTGCCAAGTGCTTTACTTGGTTTTATTGTCACAATAATCTGGAAAGGCAAGTATATCTCTCATTTACAAATGTATGAATTGAGGCTGCAGTGACGTTTACAATTCACATAAGGCATTGAGTTTGTAAGTAATTGCCAGAGTTGGGATTTGAATTTAGTTCTCTATTACTCCAAAGTCTGTATTTATTTGACTATACCAGCACATAACAATTGTTCTAAGAATCATTAATAGGTTGTACTTGAAAAATTGATGGTAATAATATGTTTTCTAATAAGCGCTTTGAAAAAATCAAGTGTAAGATAGCATCACTCCTGTAGTAATCCTGCTAAAAATTAACTGAATTTTCTTATGAGAAAATATTAAACAAACACCAATTGAAGGATATTATACAAAATAACTGGTGTGTATTCTTAGAAAATGACAGTGTCATGAAAACCACAGAAATACCAAGGAGCTATTTCAGCTAAGCAAAACTAAAGAAACATGAATCTGGGATTTATTTATTTTTTTAAAGTATTGTTGTGACATTATTGGGACAGTTGGCAACATTGAATTGTAATATCATATTAATTTCCTGATTTTGACAAATATACTGTAGCTATGCAAGAGCTTGTTTTGGGGAAGTATACACTGAATGAAGCATTTAGAAGTAAAGGGGTACAGTGTCTGCCACTTAACTCTCAAACAGTTCAGAAAAATTATATTTGTGTGTGTATATAAAAGAAAGAGAGTTAAGGCAAATGGAGTAAAGTGTTAACATTTGGGGAATCTAGTTGAGGGGTATTATCAGAATTGTGCTATTTTTTGCAACTTTTCTGTAAGTCTAAAATTATGTCAACATGATCAGTTATAAGGAAAAAAAAGTATAGGAAAAATACTAATGATTTTTCTAGCTGTTAAGTGATAATTTAAGAAATGGTGTGCTCCAGAGCACCATGAGATTACGTGAGATCACCTGATGAACCAGAGTGTCATTTTCTATGTGCTCATTTATGCACAAGTACCCGGTCTTATGGTTAAATAATGTGTTTATTTTATTTTTATTTATTTATTTTTTTAAATTTTTTTGAGAGATAGGGTCCAGGCTGGAGTGCAGTGGTATAAAGACAGCTCACTGCAATCTTGACTTTGTGAGCTCATGCAATCCTCCTGCCTCGGCTTCCCAAGTAGCTGGGACTGAAGGTGTGCATGATGTTGCTTGTATAGATGGGGCCTTGCTATGTGCCCAGGCTGGTCTCGTACTCCTGGGCTCAAGCAGTCCTCCTGCCATGGACTCCCAAGATGCTGGGATTACAGGTATGAGCCACTGCACCTGGCTGAATAATGCATTTAATAGTTCATAAAGTAAAAAATGATTTATCTACATGGTGGTGAGGAGCTTGGACTGTCACTCAGACTGCATAGGTTTGTATAAGCCCCACCTTTCACTAACTGAGAGATCATGAAAAGTTACTTTTGCACTTAGTTTTCTCCTGTCTAAAATGGGATAATGTATCTACCTCAAAGGGTTTTGTTAGGATTAAGTGAGATAATGAATGTAAAACATTTAGCACAGAATCTGACTCTAGGCTGGGGAGGGTGGCTCATACCTGTAATCCCAGTACTTTGGGAGGCCTAGGCGGGTGGATCACTTGAGGTCAGGAGTTCAAGAGCAGCCTGGCCAATGTGGTAAAAACCCGTCTCTACTAAAAATACAAAAAAATTTAGCCAGCCATGGTGGCAGGTGCCTGTAATCCCAGCTACTTGGGAGGTTGAGGCAGGAGAATTGCTTGAACCCGGCAGGCAGAGGTTGCAGTGAGCTGAGATTGTGTCACTGCACTCCAGCCTGGGTGACAGAGAGAGACTCCATCTCACACACACACACACAAAAACGAATAAAGAAGCTGACTCTAATAAGTACTCAATCAACATTTTAAATTATTGTTAATAATTTTACAAAGTTAGAAAGTTAAATCATTTATTGCAGTTAAATAATTTTTGTTGTCTGATCTAGCCTAAATATACCTAATAGATTATGAGCCTCTGTTGGTGTTTTACTGACGATACATTATAATTTTAAATATACTTCATAGTCAGATAAATTTAAGACATAATTGGATTGTTCCATACTCACCTCCTAATCACCTGTAAAATCAGGATACTTACATTTATTTTGTTATGTCATACAATAAGATATTCGAAAAGATTGTAAAATCCAAATGCAATACAAATATGTAGCACTAATAATATAGTGTGTATATATGAGCTGTGATAATCATACATTAATTTTTCGACATTAACATGTAAAGAACAGATACATGCTACCTCAGTTACTGACATGTTTTGTCTTTATTTTCCACAGATACTTTTTGTGTTACCCTACCAATCTGGTCCCTTAGCTTCTCTCTCTTGATATATGTTAGTAATGTTCTCACAGTCTTCTCTTACATATTGTGAGATTTTTGATAGAATCTTGCTCTGTTACCCAGGCTGGAGTGCAGTGGCGTGATCTTGACTCACTGCAACCTTGGCCTCCGGGGCTCAAGCAATTCTCATGCCTCAGCCTCCCAAGTAGCTGGGATTACAGGCACGCGCCACCACACCTGCCTAATTTTTGTATTTTTAGTAGAGATGGGGCTTCACCATGTTGGCCAGGATGGTCTTGATCTCCTGACCTCGTGATCCACCTGCCTCGGCCTCCCAAGGTGCTGGGATTACAGGCGTGAGCCACTGCGCCTGGCCTTAGCTAAGTTATTTATTTGTAGAGACAAGGTCTTGCTGTGTTGCCCAGCCTTGTCTCGAACTTCTGCACTCAAGCTGTCTGCCTGCCTTGGCCTCCCAAAGTGATGGGATTACAGATGTGAGCCACTGTGCCTGGCCCTGACTCCTATTTTTATAAAATATTAGCTATTGATCAGTCATAGAAATGCAAATTATTGCTGTATTCATCTCTTTTGGTATTGGGCTGTGAACTATATTTGTGGCATATTGGTAACAAATATTAAATCTTTGCTGTCTTCTATCCTCCATCTCTTGAGTTTAAAATTTAATAGGCTTTGAAAATATTTGTTATTGTTGTTATTCTTTGTACTTGGTGCTTTGATCTGGATCATTGTCCTGCATACTTAAAAGATTAAGTGGCCTTTCAATAAGGATATTTTTAACTGTGATATTTTTAGTCTAAGACACAAACTACATTTGAATGAGTATCTATTCTGAGCCTGTACTTTGATTACATTTCAACATGTAATCACAACATGGATAGTTGCGGTTATAGAGTCATAAAAACAATCTGCATGAAGGTCCAGTATTCTGTAGTGATGTTATTTCTTATTATATCGAAAACATTCATAACAAAAAATATTTGTAGAAGCGGTTGATCATCTGTTTTGAAATCTGTCTACCTTTCTAAGAATGTTGAGGGTTTGTTGCTTGTTTTAAAAAAGCACCATTCTGTGGGATATTGAAAAAGCTGCTTTAACCTGAAATAAACTCACTAGTAGTATTTTGACAGTCATCCTTCTGTTAAAGTTCCACTTGTGGAAATGCTGTTCTGTATTTTCATAAATTTTAGTTGCATTATGATTTGGAAGGAGTCTTGCAGGTACTCTAGTGTAAGTTCCCCTGTTATGCTAAAAGAGTCTCCTTTATGGTATCCTCTACACAGCGATAGAAGCTTGAAGGGACATCTCCAATATTTCTTTCCCCCTGAGGCAACACATTCCCACTTCAAATACATGTATTAGAAAATTGTTCCTGGCTGGGCATGGTGGCTCACACCTGTATTCCCAGAAATTTGGGAGGCTGAGGTAAGGGGATCACTTGAGGCCAGGAGTTCGAGACCAGCCTGGGCATGTAGCAAGACCATGTCTCTACAAAAAATAAAAACCATTAGCTGGGCATGGTGGTGCACGCCTGTAGTCCCAGCTACTTGGGATGCTGGAGGGAGGAGGATTGCCAGACCCTGGAGGTTGAGACTGCAGTGAGCTATGATTGCATCACTGCTCTCCAGCCTGGGCTATAGACAAGACCCCATCACAAAACAACAACAAAAAACCCAGAAAATTGTTCCTTATAATAAATAAAAATAAATAAGATTCACTTAAGATCTAATTTGATACTTATAGTAAGAAAACTAGTAAATTCCTTTGCAGTCTCAAAGACTGACAATTTTAAACATTAATCTTTTTTTATTATGTGTTTAATTAATTTTTTTTGAGACAGAGCCTTGCTCTGTTGCCCAGGCTGGTGCCATCTTGCTTGCTGCAACCTCCGCCTCCTAGGTTCAAGGAATTCTCATGCCTCAGCCTCCCTAATAGCTGGAATTACAGGTGTGCGCCACCATGCCTGACTAATTTTTGTATTTTTAGTAGAGATGGGGTTTTGCCGTATTGGCCAAGGCTGGTCTTGAACTCTTGACCTCAAGTGATCCTCCTGCCTCAGCCTCCCAAAGTGCTGGGATTACAGGCGTGAGCCACTGTGCCTGGCCCTATTTTTTTTTTTTTTTTTTTTGAGTCTTGCTCTGTTGCCCAGGCTGCAGTTCAGTGGCACAGTCTGAGCTCCCTGTAGTCTTGCTCAGGCTGTCCTCCCACCTCAGCTCCCCAAGTAGCTGGGACCACAGGCACACACCACCATGCTCAGCTAATATTTTTAAAAAATTGTTTTGTAGAGACGGAGTCTCCATATATTATCTGAGGTGGTCTTGACCTCCTGGCTCAAGTGATCCCTCCCAGCTTGGCCTCCCAAAGAGTTGGGATTACAGTCGTGAGCCACTGCACCTGGCCAGTCTTATTTTATAGTATGAGATGCTTGTTTTAGAAACAATAAAATATTGTGGAAATATATAGCATTTCCTACTCCTTGCCAGGTTGATTCCTCATTGATAATTGCTGATACAACTTAGGTGTGTATCCTTCTATTTGCTGTGCTTGTACAAACACTTGTTTATCTATGCCTGCATTTTATAACCACTTTAGGTCTTTGCTGTCTTTTGTTACAAGTATAGGGGTTTAACTTGTAAGAATTTGTTGAGTGCATGATGAATTGGTATCTGTGACTAATCACACCTACTGACTAGTAGATGGTCACATCCACTGTTGAGCTCATTTCCTAACTGCCTCTGTAAAAAGATGTTACAGTCGTCTTTAGGAACTCTGTGTCCCCCAAAATAAGAGCTTTGTTTTAACTAAGAGGTATTTTAGAGGATGTCTATGTATTTAATGTGAAAGATTTTTTATGGTTAAGATGAGTAAATGCTTAAATTATAGGAAGAGTTCAGTAAAATGTCTGCTAGAATTCTCTTAAATATGTTATATTTTACATTTCCTGATTAGTTTTAAAATCAAAGGTGATAGGTTTAAAGAAAAAGAGATTATTGAGAAATGCAGCATCTAAGTCTGAGCACTTCCATTAAGATAAAAGTCCAATAGTTTTTTTTCTTAAATTTTTTTTATTTTTATTTTTTATAGAGATGGGGGTCTCACTATGTTACCCAGGCTGGTTTCGGACTCCTGACCTCAAGCAGTCCTCCCATGTTGGCCACCCAAAGTGCTGGGATTATAGGCGTGAGTGAGCCACAGTGACTGGCCCAAAAGTCCAGTAGTTTTAGGGATCATAGGAATTATTTATTTTAAGGTGTAGTGGTTAAAAGCATGGATTTTGAGTTCTAACTATACCTCTTACTAGCTGTGTGACCTTAGGCAAGTTACTTACCCTTTGTCTGTTTCTTCATCTATTAAAAGTTTTTATATGAATATCAAATGGGTTAATACTCATGCTTAGAACATTGCTTGGTTCATAGTATTATGTTGGTACTTTATTACTGTTACTGTATATTTTAAAAAGGATTTATGTAGGATGAAAAGTTTGGTTTAAAAAATGCCAGCAAAATCTCTCTGTCTCTTCCCCTTTTCTTTTGATTGTCATAGAAATCTAAAGACCAGTTAATCATAAAAGGAACATAACAAATGTTTTCTCACGTTATATAACTATTAGAAAATATAAGTCAGTATTTTCCTGCTCTGTAGAAAATAAAATCAGAGGATATCTTTATTGAATTGCCAAAAATTACTTCTGGGCCAATTTCTAGGTTTTCTGTTCATTTGGTTTCCTGTGTTTCTTTGAATCAAAAGGTTTTATGATTTGAGATGAAATGGAATAGAGAAAGAGGCTTTAGAATCAGGGGTTTACATTTAAATTCCAGTCCCACCACTTTCTGAGTAACTTTGGGCAGTGTATTTGTTATCTGTTGCTGTGTGACAAACAATTCCAAAATTTGGTTGCTTCAGAAACAATGATTTATTATTTCTCATTCTGTGGATTGGCTGTACTCAACCCAGGGGTTCTTCTGTTTCATGTAGAACATTTTGTTTACCCACATTTTTGGTCTTGGGTAGAAGAACAATGCAGTAATCTGTTTTTAAAACATTTTCTTTAAATGAAATTATGCTCATGCCTGTAATCCCAGCACTTCGGGAGACCGAGGCAGGTGGGTCATGAGGTCAAGAGATCGAGACCATCCTGGCCAATATTGTGAAACCCCATCTCTACTAAAAATACAAAAAATTAGCTGGGTGTGATGGCAGGCACCTGTAATCCCAGCTACTTGGGAGGCTGAGGCAGGAGAATTGCTTGAACCCAGGAGGCGGAGGTTGCAGTGAGCCGAGATTGTGCCATTGCACTCCAGCCTGGGCAAAAAGAGCGAAACTCCATCTCAAAAAAAAAAAAAAAGTCATGATACCTGGCACATTGTTAAAGCTCAGTAAATAGTATTTTTTTAAATTTTGTAGTGATAAAACAGTTGTCCCCAATGCAAAATGGCTATGTAAGAGTCCATTGGTTCATACTTGTTCAGCTCTTATTGGTGATGTTTAACAACATTTTCTTTGTTTTCCTGAATGAATGATGTATGCTATTAGCTTTTGTTGGTTGATCAATTCATTGAACAAATAATGAAGTGTTTTATGTGTTGGGAATATAGCATTAAAAGAATTAAAGTTCTTGCCCCCATGGAATTTATGTTCTAGTGGGGGCAGAGAGGAAATAGATAATAAGCCAACATATTTATCAGTTAATGACAAGTGCTATAGAGAACAGTCAAGCAAGATAAAGGAAGAAAGGCAAGTGCCATGTGTTGGTGAGGGTTTACTCTTCTATTTAAGATGGTCAGGGAAGGCCTTTCTAGTAATATGACTGTTAAGCAGTAACACAAAGTAAGAGGAAGGGATCAAGTCTTGTATTCTCTCTGCCTGGAACTCTCTTCTCCCAGATATTTTTAAATGCAGAGGTCTTGAGGCAGGAACTATGGTTTGAAACAGTAAGGAGACTAATGTGGCTGGACCAGAGCAAGCAAGTGGGAGAATGGTAGGAAGTTTCAGATGTAGCTAAGGGCTGCCCCTTGTAGGCCATTGTGAGGAATTGAGATAGGAAGCTATCAGGGTTTTGAGGAGAAGAGTGACATGGTCTAATTTATGTATTAAATGGATCACTCAAGCTGCTAGATTGAGAATAGATGGCAGAGGGTAAGGACAGAAGCAAAGAAGAACAGGAAGCTCTTGTAATAACAGATGGAGGTGATGGGGGGTTGGATTAGAGTGGTAACAGTAAAGGTGGTTACATTGTGAGGAATTTGACTTTTACTGTGATAGGAAGCCAGCTGGGATTTTGAGGAGTGGAGTGACATGGTCTGATTTGTGTACTAAATGGATCACTCAGACTGCTAGAATGAGAAGAGATGGTAGAGGATAAGGACAGAAGCAAGAATAGTTAGGAAGTTCTTGCAGTAATCCAGATGAGAGGTGATGGTGGTTTGGATCAGGATGGTAGCAGTAAAGGTAGTTACATTCTGTTAATAGATACACCATATTTTGAAGATAGAGTCAATGGAATTTGCTGATGTGGGAAGTGAGAAAAAGAGGAGTTAAATTTGATTCTCACAGGTTGTGGGCCTGAGAAACTGAAAGGACAGAATTGTCGTTTACTGACATGGGTAGGACTGTGAGAGAAGTGAGTTTGGGGGAATCAGGAGTTTTTCTGAACACATTCAGTTTGAGATGCCTAATAAACATTCAAAAAGAAGTGCTGAGCAGACAATTGGATTCACAAGTCTGGAGTTAAAAGAGAGAGGTCTGAGTTGGAGATGTACGTTTGGGAGTCTTAAGAATAGAGGTGCTTATTTAAAAACATGTGACAGGATGAGATCATGTAAGGGAGGTTAGTGCACATAGAGAGGATAGATTCCCAAAGACTGAGCCTTCAGATACCCCAAAGTTTAAACGTTGGGAAAATGAAACGGAACTAGTGAAGCAATCTGAAAAGGGTGTGCTAGTGAGATAAGGAGGAGAACGAAGAGTTCTGGTGCCCTGGAATTCAAGTGCAGGTAGATTAATAATCAGCTGTGTTAAATACTGCAAGTCAAGTAGATTGAGGACGTAGCGAATGCAGTGGTTTAGTGACCTTGATAAGAGCTATCTGGGTGGAATGATAGGGTAATGAAAGCCTTTTTGAATGAGTTCAAGATGGGGGTGGAGTTGGAGGCAGCTTGTATAAACAGTGCTTTCAAGAAGGATTGGTGTAAAATGGGAACAGAAAAAGGGGTGATGGCTGAAGGAGGATATATAATCAAGAGTTTTTTTATTCTCCTTTATTTTTCCAAGATGGAGATCTAGAATTGTCCTATAGAGAAAGAGATATTGGTAATGAGGGTGGGAAATTGGAGTGATGTACTTCAGTAGGTGAGCATGGATGTCTTAGATAGAAGCATTACACTGACAGCTGCAAGTGGTCTAGTAGATGTGGTAAGAATGTGGAAGCTGTCTTTCAAATTACATCTATTTATTTTAGTAAAGTAGAATACAAGGACAACAGTGAGGATGAGGAGGAGGTGGATGTTTGAAAAGAGGAAGTGTGAAGTAGGACAGTGAGTATGAATAGTTCACAGGAATGTATATACTGCTTTACATTTCACACACATTCTTTTACTTAGTCCTTTAGATAATCTTCTGAGTGTGGAAGGTTAGTAAAACCCTGTTTTAAAAATGAAAATACTAAGGCTTAGGTAAATTACTCGCTATTAGGGGGAGAGCTGTGTATCTACTCCTGAGTATTTGAAATCTAGCTCTATTTAGGTGATTTTTATTATGTGAAATCAGTGCTTCCTTACCAGGCTCCAGTGTTTGTCTTCCCAGAGCTTTTCTTCATACATTCCCAACTTTTTATTTTTATTATTATTTTTTGAGACACAGAGTCTTGCTCCGTCACCCAGACTGGAGTGCAGTGGCGCGATCTTGGCTCACTGCAAGCTCCGCCTCCCGGGTTCACACCATTCTCCTGCCTCAGCCTCCCGAGTAGCTGGGACTACAGGCGCTTGCCACCACACCCAGCTAATTTTTTGTATTTTTAGTAGAGATGGGGTTTCACCGTGTTAGCCAGGATGGTCTCGATCTCCTGACCTCGTGATCTGCCTGCCTCGGCCTCCCAAAGTGCTGGGCTTACAGGCATGAGCCACCACACCTGGCCATTACATTCCCAACTTTTTAGTACTACTGTAACATAAAGTTCAATGAAATTTGCTTGAAGGGAATTGCATGCATGATCCATGTTCTTTTATATTGGATTGCCAGTATATGAGCAAGAGGTTCTTACTATTTTCTTTTAGTGGCCTAGAGGTTTGAAAAATGAATAGGACAAGATTAGCTCAATCATAAAGGCTGTTGCACTGGACAAAGTAGGAAGAAAAATCAATAGTTCCTTTAAAAACTAGTGCCCATAGCCAAGGGCTCACACCTGTAATCCCAGCACTTCAGGAGGCCGAGGCAGGCAAATCACTTGAGGCCAGGAGTTCGAGACCAGCCTGGCCAATGTGGCGAAACCTCATCTTTACTAAAAACACAAAAATTAGCCTGGCATGGTGGCACATGCCTGTAGTCCCAGCTACTCAGGAGGCTGAGGCAGCAGAATTGCTTGAACCCAGAAGGTGGAGATTGCAGTGAGTCAAGGCTGCGCCACTGCACTCCAGCCTGGGTGACAGAGCGAGACTCCGTCTCAGAAAAAAAAACTAGAAAAACGAGTGGCCACTGTTTCCTTTTTGAATATATGTTCCATCAAAGGCATTTTCTTCCTGAATAGGCCAGTTCTGTCTGAGGCCATAGTTGTTCTTCATGTAGACCCTCTCTACTCTGACCTTCCTGAGCACTGGAGTGTGTTCTTCTCAGCATCCTGGTGAGCTGACATGGCCTGTCCTGTTAACAGCTCATTTTTTATAATAGACAAAAAGTAGAAACAACCCAAATGTCCATTACCCGATGAATGGATAAATAAAATATTGTATACAAGGGAATATTATTCAGCAGTAAAAATAAATGAAGTGCAGATATGTGTTAAAACATGGTTGAACACTGAAAACATTATGCCAAGTGAAAGAAGCCAGTCACAAAGACTACGTATTATGGGATTCCATTTATTTATTTATTTATTTTTTGAAGACAGAGTCTAGCTCTGGTCGCCCAGGCTGGAGTGCAGTGGTGTGATCTTGGCTCACTGCAACCTTTGCCTCCCAGTCTCAAGCAATTCTTCTGCCTCAGCCTCCCAAGTAGCCGGGATTACAGGTGCACACCACCACACCTGGCTAATTTTTGTATTTTAGTAGAGACAGAGTTTTACCATGTTGGCCAGGCTGGTCTTGAACTCCTGACCTCAAGTGATCCTCCCGGCTTAGCCTCCAAAAGTGCTGGGATTACAGGCGTGAGCCACCACGTCCGGCTGGATTCCATTTATATGAAATGTCCAGAATAGGCAAATCTATAGAGACAGAAAGTGGATTTGTGGTGGCCTAATGATGGAGAAGTTTGAGGAAGTGGGGGAGTGACTTCTAGTGGATAAAATGAAAATTGTTTTTCAACTTAACCACTTTAACATAAGTTTTATATCAGTGCTTCAAGATTTTAGAGTAAAAGGATTGATAAATTCAACTAAAAGCACATGGCAAAAAATTAAAAAGGAAAAGAAATGGCATTTCAGATGTAGATTGGCTTTATCACATGCCCTAAACTGTTGTGTTTATGGTTTTCACACTTACCTTCTAACTGTGAGTTATTATTTATAGAGTGGGAGAAACAGGTTTAGTTGTATTCTCCATTCAACTGGCATGTTTAATTTGCGCCTTGACTGTTCTACAAAAGTACAAATGATGTCTATTCTCTGCAATATCCTTAGCACTGCCACATACACATGCCCAGAGGATAAGAGTTAAAGTAGAGGAAAAAAGTGGAAGAACTTTCTGTAGGAGTAGGACAGAAGATTTCTGTGAGTGGTCCATTAGTCAGAATTCTTGCTATGGTCTTTTCCATACATAAGTATATTTAGCCCATGGGAGGAATTTGAGAGCCAATTAAGATGAAACCAGTAAACTAAGCTTTATTCACTACTGACAGACGGATGTATTCTTTCAATGCATGGTTTATTTTTTAAAGTGTATTGTGTTGTAAACTGGCTGGTAGAACTGTCATGTCTCTGGCAGTTTCATCTAGATTTTAAGTGCTTTCAGGCATTGCTTCCCAACTTTCCTCATGCTATGGTATGATATACATAGAAAATGCATGGCATGCTACGGTTAACTGGGGAGGATTTGGTCTTGTTTGTAGGGGACTTAGTGAAGAAATTTACTGCATTTTCTCTATGATAGATAACGTATTGTGAAATGAAATGCGGAAGCTTTTGGGAAGCTAGTTGTGGCAGCTGTGAAAGTGTGCCACTCAGAATCCCCTTCAAGAGAGTCCCCTGTGTAGAGCAGCTGGCTGAGAGCCTCCAGCTGCTGCACCTTCAGATGTGCTGCAGTGCTCAGGCTGAGGCCATACTTCCTTTGGGCCCCTTCCCACCAATGACCAGGCACAGTGTGGGGCACTAGAGTTGGGCTATTCTTGCTTGATGGGAGGCTCCTCATACAGATAATGTTTGCTTAGGGACTTGGTATTGGCCTATCCGAGACTTTCTCATAACTGCACTGCTGTGGGAGGTTCTTTGTACCTAACTACTCCTTTGCCTCTCTTCTTCCACCCTCAGACCCTGCTCAAGTTTCTCCTCACCTCCTTCTGCTTCCTCTGCCTGTATGCTGCCCAGGCATCTTCCCCAGCAAATTTCTGGTGTATCTAATTTGCTTCTCAGAGGATCTGAACTAATGCAATAATAGATAGTGAACTTGTATAAAACTCCCAGTTAAAACTCTTTTGTATTTTAAAATGGGAAACTTGAATTTGCTTCTGTGAGTGTAACTTTTGTATCTCAGGTTTTATGTTTGAGTGGCTATGTGCAATTCCTGATCAAGATTTTGTAAAGATGACTCTGTATTCTTGTTGTCACCATCAGTTAGAAACTTGACTTATTCATTAAATGGTAGCACATGGCAGAAGGAATTTGTTGCTCTTTGTCTGACAGAAACTCTTTTCTTACTGTTAACAGAATTAAAATGATTTCAGTCTCTTTAAGTGGTATATCTTAGGTGCTGTTATTGTTACTTTCCTTTATTGCCAAATGCGATACTGAAAAGTTCTACACCGAAAAATTTCAAATCCTATGAAGAATTTTCCATATTAAATATTTCAAAATAATCATAAAACTTTTATACACACAGTAATAGGCCTATCATTAGTCTTACTGATTTTTGTTTTGCATTCAGATTAGTATATGGTTAACATTGGTAGTGAATCTCATTTCCACGCCGTACTTTCAAAACTGCATTTTTGCTTTGAATCTTTTTTAGTATAGGTTAATATATGCTCTTTATAAACTCTTGTGCCCCGTTCTCTTTCTTTCTGCCTAGACTTCTGTATTTGAAGGCCTAGTCCAAAACCAGACCGTACTCTGATACTTTTCTTTGTGTGACTCAACCTGTGTTGAAATGATTTATTTGAGAAATGTTTACTGAATGCATATTCTTTACAAGGTTCTAGGTACACAAATAATGAACAAAAAGGGATAAGGTCTCCATCTTTGATAGCTTTTTTTGGTACAATATTGTGAATATATAGGATTAATAACAGTGCAGCTTCCTTTTTTTATCTTTCTACAACACGTTTTAGCATTTGATTATACCTAAATATAATTAATGTGTATACATCCATACACACACTTGAATATTTTGTCAAAAGAATGAAAACTTCTTATAACCATGTTTTGAAGATCTTTTATACCTCATAGAATCTCCCCGTGGCTCTTGTTTTCAACAAATGCCTGTGGATTGGTTAAGGTTCTACTGAATCTTAAGTATTATTTACAGCAGAGATGGGGCCAGGAGTAGAATATTCACTGGACAGATCCCAAGTCTGTAGTAGAAAACAGCTTGTTCATTATCCTCTGAATTTCCTTTGCCAGAAGAGTTGTAGGGAAGAAATGGGGTGGTCCTCCCATTGGTCTAACTTCTTGAGTGTAAGGCTTTGGTTCTCAACTTTGGCTATATGTTGAAGCCACTCTTGATTCCTAAGTCTAATCCCCAGGGTTTCTGATTTAATTGGTGTAGGGTGTGGCCAGGACCAAATAATTGTAATGTGTAGCCAAGATTGAGAACCACTGCCTTAGGAGATGACAACCCCCAGTCTCAGTTAAGAAATTAGCAGGCTTATTTTGCTTAACTCTAGGTAATATACGTACTGAGAAGGTCTGGGAACCATCCCAATAGTAATGAGGATCCATAGCTCCCTGATCTTTGTTTCAAAGGTCTATTCTATACGAAAAGATACCAGAGATCCTCAGAGAAATAGCTGTTTTTAGGACTGGAGCAGGGAAAGAACAAGATGTGCCTGGAATATCTTGCTGTGTCAGAAAGCAAAGAAATAATCAGAGATTATTGTCAGAAGAACATAAAAGTCTGAGGGAGTTATGACTGGTCAAATCTGGGATTTTTTTTTTTTTCCCCCGAGACAGAGCCTGGCTCTGTCCCTCAGGCTGGAGTGCAGTGGCACAATCTCAGCTCACTGCAGCTTGGACCTCCTGGGCTCAAGTGACCCTTCCACCTCAGTCTCCCAAATAGCTGGGACTACAGGTGCGGACCATCACCCTGGCTAATTAAAAAAAATTTTTTCTTTTTTTGGAGAGATGAGGTCTCATTATGTTGCCCAGGCTGATCTGGAACTCTTGGGCTCAAGCAATCCTACCATGTTGGCCTCCCAAAGTGCTGGGATTACAGGTGTGAGCTACCACGCCAAATCTGGGAAAATCTGAGAATCAAAATAAGTAATTATAGTCATGGATTATAACTCATTGAACAAAGTAGGAATCCTTTAATCTGTACTCATACAGGTAAATAAATGAAAAAAATGAAAGTTTGATAAGAAATGGATTATTTATATAGTTTCAATTTGAGATCCCACAAAATACTTAATTAGAAAGAGAAAAGTAGGAACTTAGTAGTAGAGAAATATAGCAGACATCATGTGATCAAAGTAAAAATTATTAGTAATGGAACATATCAGAATTGCATGCCTAATAAGATACAATGAGAAAACATGATCACTTCTGTGATGTTCCTCTGAATCTAATTATGAGGAAACATCAGACAAACCCACACTGAGGGACGTTTCTTCAAATATCTGTCCTGTAATATGTTATACAAAGGTCATGGAAATCTAGACAAAACTTAGGAATTATTCCATATTGAAAAAGACTGAAAGAGATAGGACAACTAGATGCAATGCATGATCCTGAGTTGGATCCTTTTGCCAAAAAGGACGGTATTAGTATAATTGGCCAAACTTAAATGGAGTCTGAAGCTTAGAAGGTGGAGATGTATCAGAGTTCATTTCTTGATTTTGATGATTGTATTGTGGTTATGTAGGAGAATATTCTTCTTTGTAGGAACTATAAAGTATACAGATATTTGGCAAGTTATTCTCGGGTGATTTAAGGAAAAAATATGTACTGTTCTTGCAACTTCTCTGTAAGATTGAGATTGTTTTAAAATTAAACACATGCACACTAATCTAGGATAACTGTGATCCATATGACTTCTTTGGAATTACACAGCTGTACATGGAGTCTGTCTTAGAACATGAATCTTCTCAAGGGAAATCCATATGAAGGTGCAACATAATTTATCTAGGAATAATATGTTTCTTGGAGTACATTTCCCAAATGACCAAACACTTTTAAGTGCTGAAATGCTTTTTAACTATGTTGTTATATGCTGTATACTTGTCTGCCTTTTAAGACAGAATACACTGAATTTAGTTTAATCTCTTGGATGACTAATGGCTCCAATTAGGTAAATATTTATTACTGTATTCTGAAGTAATATCTAGGTCTAGATTCACTTTTAGCCTTTGAGGATTTTGCTTTGTTTTTGTTTTCTCTCTCAATGTCTGGTTTTCAGTTCTGCTGATGTCATAGTATGTATTTAATAGTTTGCCAGTTCTCTTCCTATTGTGTTATTTCTGATCTGCTGTAGTCTTAAAAACAAGATGTATGTTTTTCCTTTTTCAAAAAATGTTATGTTAGTAAAACTATAAGGGAAAAGGATTACAGTGGAAGAGACTTTATTATAGAAATGTTGTACTCATAGTACCCCTTTCAGATTAATTCAGGATTATGTCTAGGTTTCAAAGAGTTCTGAAATAGTGAAGAGTTCCTATACATAGAATGTGATACCTCTGTCATTTTACCAACTTCCTAGAATGCCAGTTGAAATTAGGTAATTTTAGAGAAAAACCACCCTGATTTTTGTTTTAATTTTAAATTTCAGAGCTCCAGAGATTATATTGGGGTTGCCATTTTGTGAAGCCATAGACATGTGGTCATTGGGATGTGTGATTGCAGAATTATTTCTTGGATGGCCGCTCTACCCAGGAGCCTTGGAGTATGATCAGGTAACAAATAATGATAATCTAATAGAATTGGTAAAAAGTAAAGAATAATAACAGACTTACAGGAACACATGGCTGCAGGTGTACAATACACTGGAAAGTCTTTTTAACATAAAGTGGCAGAATCTGGGATCTTGTAGAATTGATTTTGAAAACTGTTTTATAATGCTGAAGTAAGTTTTCATAAAGTTACAGCCTATAGAATCTCAAAACCAGTTTTGTAAAATTATTGGGAAAATTTTATACTGTAAACATATAAAAGGTTGGATTGTGTGTCCATTTAATTAATTGTGCTTTGCTTGGGTGACAAACTTTGATGTGTGAAACGTCAGCCCCTCCCAAGGCATAAAAGCTCCTAAAAGGCGTTATAACTTTTGGTCTTAAACCAACTGCCATTATTGGTGTTTTAAATACCTCAGTAACTTGAACTCTTCTCAGTCTTTTTAGCTGTTTTGAGTGGTGCTGAAATTCTCTTTTAGCACTGTTTAATGATTCTCGGTAGAATTCAGCAAATTACCTTATTAAGCACACTTTTCATGGTAGTTTTCAGGTATAT
Source organism: Homo sapiens (assembly GCF_000001405.40). Lineage (NCBI taxonomy): Eukaryota > Metazoa > Chordata > Mammalia > Primates > Hominidae > Homo > Homo sapiens. The sequence continues at coordinate 33,329,187 of NC_000011.10, forward strand.
TCATTAGCCTTTCTGTACTATTAAACAGTGTTGTGTGCTAGTAGTCTTAAATATTAATACCAAGATTATTTTTTGGAGAAACTGCCATCTTATTTATTATTCTTTGAGTATCTTTGAGATAATGTACTCAACTCATTCTAATAGAAAATGCTAGTCAAAATCAACAAAGTAGTTACATTAATTTTGTCATTCTGATTAGTGAATATTTTTATTTAGATGATATTTAACTTTCAAGCAAGAAAAAATAGAAAATAGAAGAATTTAAAGCACCTATTACATAATCATGATTATAGCCTTGTATTTTAGGGCTATTTTCTCTATCAAGAGGAAAAAGAGAGGTAATTAATTTAGGTGACTTAAATGTTCCTGAGATGACTCTGTCATTTAATACTGATTATTAGATTAGATGTTATCATTGACTTTAATCTCTTGTCATCATCCATGAACCTTCCCTTTTAGGTTAGGTTTTCCATATTCTCTACCTTCCCTCCTCCATGTTCAGAATTCCACTGGGTTTCTGTAAAATTTTCCATACATCCTGTCTTCTTTCAGCTTTCTACCCAATTACTAGCTTTGATACAGATGCAAGACTACCGTCAGTTCTGAACGAGTTAGTAATTGAATCAGAGTCCCATAATCCTTTAGCTGTTGGAATACTGAGGCACCAGTAAAATGCTAGAAATACACCCTTGGCTTTGTAGATTAGCCTATGGCATGCATACCGCCCTGGAGCAGGACACCCTCTAGTGGCAATTTCAAGTTGATTTGTTATTATACTCGATTAGGACTTCACAGTTCATCTTGGACAACTGATATTAGTATTGAAAAGGACCCCAGAGATTACCCAGTAACTGCCCCCTTTTCATTTTATAAAGGAGAAAACTGAGGCCCAGAAAAATGAATTCACTTGTCAAAAGTCACAATAGTAATTTTAAAGACAAAGCCTTGACCAAAACTCAGTTTTTCTAAATTTTATAATGAATGTTTGTTTTTTTTAAACTAAACTTGGAACAGGTATTATCTGATCCAGATTGACAATGTTTTCAGGATGTATATTACCAAAGGGATTAAAAAAAGTCATTGGCCCTTGGCATATAGCATCAATAGTCTCACAGTTCAGTGGGGTTTTTTTGTCTTTGTTTGTTTTTCTTTTTTCTTTTGAGATGAAGTCTTGCTCTGTCGCCCAGGCTGGAGTGCAGTGGCGTGATCTCAGCTCACTGCAACATCCGCCTCCCGGATTCAAGCGATTCTTCTGCCTCAGCCTCCTGAGTAGCTGGGATTACAGGCACACACCACCATGCCCGGCCAATTTTTGTATTTTTAGTAGAGATGGGGTTTCACCATGTTGGCCAGGCTGGTCTCGAACTCTTGACCTTGTGATTTGCCTGCCTCAGCCTCCCAAAGTGTTGGGATTACAGGCGTGAGCCACTGTGCCCCGCCCACAGTTCAATGTTTTAAAATATTTTACAAAATACATGAATGCAAAGCAAATAAATTGTAGTGATTTTGTGGGCGTCTTTGTTTTGGCCCTAATCTGGGACTTTAAGCTCATTTTCAAGCATGGTATTTGTTATAAAGGCTTTGATAAATTTTGATAATTTTTTTTTTTTTCCCTATCAGTCTTAACTTGGTTTAGGACTTTCAAGTGCTTTTTTTTTTGCACTTGTTAAAATGTTCACATATGTTTTTCTTTTTTCTTTTTCTTTTTCTTTTTTGAGACAGGGTCTCACTCTGTCGCCCAGGCCTGAGTGCAGTGGTTCCATCTCGGCTCACTGCAACCTCCGCCTCATAGGTTCAAGCAATTTTTCCACCTCAGCCTCCTTAGTAGCTGGGACTACAGGTGTGTGCCACCATGCCTGGCTAATTTTTTATTTTTAGTAGAGATGGGGTTTCATCATATTGACGAGGCAGGTCTTAAACTCCTGATCTCAAATGATCCACCCACCTTGGCCTCCCAAAGTGTTGGGAATACAGGCAAGAGCCACTGCGCCTGGCCACATATGTTTCTCAGAACAGCTTTAGTCTGTTTATTAATGTGTTTGACTTTCATAGATTTTCCCCATCTCGCTAGATTGTGATCACCTAATGTTAGGATGTGAAAGGGCCACCAGTAGGGTATGTCTCTCTCTATTATCTGTTCCTTATTCCAGTAATCAGCTGCCTAGATATACTTGGACACCCCAACTGGGGAGTTGGTATTTTTTTTAGACAGGGTCTCAGTCTGTCATCTAGGCTGGAATGCAGTGGCATGATCATAGCTCACTGCAGTCTTGAACTACTGGGCTCGAGGAATCCTCCTACCTCAGGCTGTGCCCAGTAGCTGGGGATACAGGTGTGCACCAGCATGCCTGACTCATTTTTAATTTTTTGTAGAGATGGGGTCTCTTTCTCTATGTTGCCCAAGCTGGTCTCAAAGTCCTGGGCTTAAGCCATCCTCCCGCCTGGACCTCCAGACATGCTGGGATTACAGGTGTGAGCCACTGCACCTGGCCTGGCAGTTTTTTTCTAATTATTATTTTTTGCCTTACAGTGGCAGTGCAGTGGGCAATAGTAATATTAACTAATTAATGCTTACTGAGCTCTTTTATGTACTAGGAACTGCTGTTAACACTTTATATTAACTCATTTAATGCTCGTAACAACCCTATGAAGTACACACTACTGTTGCCTCCATTTTATAGATGTAAACTAAAGAGTTCTTAACAGTATATCATATTCTTCTTTAGAGACAGAGTCTTTCTCTGTTGCCCTGGATGGAGTGCAGTGGCAGGATCATGGTTTACTGCAAAGTTGAACTCGTGGGCTCAAGTGGTCCTCCTGCCTAGGCCTCCCAAAGTGTTGCAATAACAGGCACGAGCCACCGCGCCTGGCCAAATTATTATATTTTTAAAAGCCAAATTTGAGTCAGCAGGAAAAATATTCAAAGTATTTTAATTCTTCATTATAGGGTTTGTGTTCTAGCCCTTTAATCATATTTATCATGTCTTAAAACCTTTCCAATGCCATTTTCTCTTTGGATTTTAGATTCTGTAAGTAGACACTGACCGTGTTGAAAATTTATAATTTCATATTTTCTTGTATGTGCATTTTATTTCCGTTTATATAGACATCTATATTTAGTGTGTGTGGTTAGGGAAGATCCTACCCACCAATTGTTACAGTGCGTGAATCCCTTCCTGTCTTGATTGTAGATAAACTGTCTTATTAGTGTTCTATTTACAGGACTTATATTTACTAGGGACATATCAAAAGTATTCTAGGGAATTAAGGACTATTTTATGGATGGATGGATGGTTGAATGGATGAATGGATGGATAGACGGATGGACAATAGTTGGTAAATGTTCATTATTTCTCCAAAATGTTTGTTGGAGTTTAGATAGAATGTTATCCAGAACAACTAAGAGTCTGACTTTATATTCAAATTATATTTGGTAATTTCAAGTCTTATGTAAGAAAAATAAAGTTCACTATTTCAACTGCAGAGAAAATAAATCTTTCAAGATTTCTATTTTTGTCAGGCTATTTAGCAAAGAGACCCACACAAGCTGGCCCAAATAAGGGGACATTTATTTATATGTGTGGATGTATTAGGCCATTTGCATTGCTATAAAGGAATACCTGAGTAATTTATAAAGAAAAGAGATTTAATTGGCTCACAGTTCTGCAGGCTGTACAAGCAGGGCTCCAGCATGTGCTTCTGGTGAGGGTCTTAGGTAGCTTACAATCATGGCAGAAGGGAAGGGGAGCAGGCGTTTCACATGGTGAGAATAGGAGCAAGAGATGGGGGAGATGGGTACTACACACCTTGAAACAACCAGATCTTGAGAGAACTCACTGTTGGGGGGACAGCACCAAGCCATTCATGAGGTATCGGCCCCTATTACCCAAACACCTCCCACCAGGCCCTACCTCCAACACTGGGGATTATATTTCAACATGAGATTTGGAGGGGACAAACATTCAAACTATATCAGTGGACTATCACAAGGATCTAAGAATGGAACTATAATATGACTGGGATTTGTGAAGTATGGAATTGAAGGTGCTTTTCAAAGTAAGGCGACACGAGAGGAATTAACAGATGTTGGTAGAACTTCACTGGTACTGGACCATCAGTGTGACTTGGCTGTTCTTCAAGTGCCTTTGTCTATTCTGATCTGAGTTTCTGCTCACCTTACCTTTGATTAGGTTTCATGACCATAAAACTCCGGCTCTACCTAATAACCCTTTAGCTCATCCCCCAAGAGTCATTGGTATTTCTTAGTTCACATTTCTGACATAGTTAATCTGATTGACTTAGTTTTTTTCTAGTTGAGTTCATGAGGCCAGTTTAGAATTATGTGTCAGATTCCCATTCTTCATCCACTGGAGATGGAGGAAGGCAAATATATTTATATATTAGGGGTTCTAGATGGAACATTTTTCTCTTCAAAAGACTGGGCAGACAGTATGACAAGTAATAAACTCAGATTTTCACTGGCCACTTTTGTTTGTTTGTTTGTTTTTTGTTTTACAGAGCCATCTCAACTCCTGAGGTACATTAATTGCTCTATTCTCTTTGCTTTTTTAGCACTTTGTTTTCTTCTTCACAATGGCTTACTAGCTTAATTGCAGATTATATGCTTAAATATTTTTCTGTTCTACTGAATTGTGCTTTTGAAGATTGGCACCATATTTATCTACATGTCTTTAGCATCTAGCAAATAATAGATGCTCTGTTTGTTGAAATTGAATTGTTGATGGCTTTTCTGTCTGATGCAGCATCTAGGCACCAAACTCTTAGTACTTTTTCCTTCCATTTTTCTGTTTCCTTAAAATAAGGAAGTTAGCTACTTAGTGGGTGGGAGGTGGGGAGAAAGAACAGCACTTTAACGAAATGAAGCCAGTTTGTAATGTGGAAGTTTTCGTTGTCATTTTATATAAAATTGGGGATACAAATGTGGATAAAACAGACTGTTATTGGAAGGCACACAATCTAGTAGGGAAAACAGACATGTAAAAAATTGTAATATAGTTATAATAATTATAAATGCATGTTCTAGGTGTGATGATAGCACAGAGTAGAGTAATTACCTCTGCTTGGCATCGTCAGGGATGGCTTTATAGAGGAGAAGATTCTTGAGCTGAGTCTTGAAGAAGGAATAGTAGAAGTTTGTCTTGTGGATTTGGTGAAAGGGGGAATATGTATGTTGGATAAGTAGAAGTTCGAGAACAATATAGGAAAGAGAAACTGGCCCATGTGGTTCGACATGGTGCCAGTTGGTGCCGAAGTACCAGGAGAATATAAAAGGGCAGGGAATATATATAGTTGGAGGGCCTGTTTGCTAGGGTTAGAGGTCTGGAATTGATCCTCTAGGTCAGGGGTGTCTAGCCTTTTGGCTTCCCTGGGCCACATTGGAAGAAGAAAAATTGTCTTGGGCCACACATAAAATACACTAAAATTAATGATAGCTGATGAGCTTTAAAAAAAAAAAAATCACAAAAAAATCTCATAATGTCTTAAGAAAGTTTACAAATTTGTATTGGACCTCATGCAGCCCCTGGGCCGGGACTTCTGGTTGGACAAGCTTGCTCTAGGCAGTAAAGGGTTATTAAGTAATTTTACACAAGTGACTAACAGATGCACATTTTGCCAGAATGTTTGGCAGTAGTGTGAATAATGAATTGGGCGTGAGCGGCTAAGGACATTAGGAGAGACTGGAGGCAGGTAGAATAATCAGGAGGCTTGTGAAATTGTATAACTCAGAATTGAAGAGGATCTGAGGTAGGGATGGAGAGGAGGGGACAGTTGTGAAAAATGTTAATGAAGTAAAATTGTTAGGCTTTTGGATATTGGGGGAGCATGATGAGGAAGAGGTACAGGGCATCAATTTCAGGTTTCTGATTTGAGTGGATGGTGTTGCTATTAACCATAGGAGGAAAATACATTAGGATTAGCAGATCTGGGGGCAAATCAGTTTAGGATATATTCAGTTGGAGATATAGAGTCCAGCCAGGTTGAAAGTTTCAATAAGCGGTTGGGCCTGGAGCTCCAGAGCTAGAGCCAAAGATTGAGGCGCAGATTTAGAGATAAAATTGTGGGCACTTAGGACTTGTAGAGGGAAAAAAGAAAGACAAGACTCTGGAAAGCAGTGTCATATAAAGAACAAACAGAGGAACAGAGTTAAAGACTGTCAGGAAGTAGAAGAGACCCAGAAAAGCATGGCGTCGTGGAAATTGAGCGATTTTTATGTAAAATGGTAGTAGCCATTAGTATCAAAGTAAAATAAGGATTTATATGTGATTATTAAACATGTCTGTTACTAACAGGCCATTACTTATCTTAATACCATATCATGAGGGTGATGAGACTAAAATTCAGATTGCAGTGTGTTGAGGTGTGAATGGGAAGTGAAATAATATAGGCTACTATTTTAAGGGTAAGACGAGAGAGTTAAGTAGTTAAGGGAGGTTTACTTTTTTTTTTTAGGATAGAAGATATTGAACATTTTTGTATTTGGTGGGGAGAGAGCTCAGAGGGAGGAAGAAATAGAAGATGCAGAAGAGGATGGACTAATTGATGGAGCAGAGTCTTTGAGGTTAAAAAAACATCTTTGCACTTATTCTCAAATACAGGTTAGGGGAGTCAAGTTTTAGTAAGAAGGAAGGATGGAAAAACAATTTTAGCCCCCAGAGATCTCTCTCTTTGCTAAGCCCCTGTTTATCCCCCGTGTTTCCCACTCATTAAGTGGGGGAATCAATATTTCAGGGCCTACTGTGTACCATGCACTTTCATGGGCTCTGGGGGTATATAAGTAAACAAAAAAATTCTTCCGTTCATGGAACTTAGAGTCTCATGGAGAGGTAAGAAAATGGAAAGTAAATGCATAGAATATTAGATAATGAAAAGCGCAGTGGAGAAAAATATAGCCAGGAGGATGGTGGGTGAGTTACTGAGAAGGGCAGAGTTTGCCGTTATTTATTGATGGGTCATGGAAGGCCTGGTCAATAAGGCAACATTTGAACCAAGAGCTGAAGGAAGCAAGAGAGCCATACAGATATCTAGGGGAAGAATGTTTCAAACAGAAATATTAAGTTCAGAAGCCCTGAAGCTGGAGTTTTTTAGTATCACCCTTGGGAGAGCCCATCAACTACCATGCCTCTTCCCCAAGAGACACAGCTGTGTATATATCAGTGTCTCAAAAAAGTGTTTCCTCCAAACTCCCACCATAGTAATTCACCCAGTGTTTATCAATCTAAATCTCTTTTGAATCCATTCCTTCCTCTCTATTCCCATTCAGTCTCTCAGTTCAGACCCTCTTCATCTCTTCTCTGGCCTTATCCCTTCACCCATTGTCAGACATTTCTTTAAAATGTAAGCTGTCAATTTCTTGCTGAAATTTTTCCAGTGGTTTCCCATTATTACCTCCTGGCATATAATCCAAATTTCTTAATTTGCTGATAAAGCCCTTTACCTGCTAGTTCAATTTCATCTCTTACCATTCTCTGTTAGTGACCCTCTGTACTTCCAGTCTTTGAATGTGAGGTTATTCTCTCTTGATTTTCTATATTTACACATACTATAACCTTGGCATAGTTTTTCTCCCCACTCTTTCAGTGCAAACTCCTATTTGTCCTTTAACACCAAACTTGAGGACCACCTCTTCTAGAATTTTACCTGACCACAATTACTTTAGGTATGCCTTTTCTATCAAGCGTGCATTTATTATGATACTTATAATTCCACATTATAATTTTTTCCATATATGTTCTCCACTAGACAGTGCATTTCTTGAGGGCATAGACTATGTATTTTCATACCTGACCTAACATATAGCCTAGTGTCTGACTTAAGTGTTCTGTCACATGAAAGAATAAACTATTCTGTTCTGTAAATTATTTTTCAGATTCGATACATTTCTCAGACTCAAGGTTTGCCAGGAGAACAGTTGTTAAATGTGGGTACTAAATCCACAAGATTTTTTTGCAAAGAAACAGATATGTCTCATTCTGGTTGGAGATTAAAGGTAATTCATTAAAAAATAGAATATTTAGAAGACTAGTTTTCTAAGATGCCTCATATGCATGGATAATACCTTCCATGTCTATTTACATTTTACTATATTTCTTCCTTTTTTTGAATTTTCATTTTTGGCCCTTCTTTATTTTATTTTATTTTTTTCAATTTTTTTAGTTTTTATTTTTTGAGATGGAGTTTCTCTCTCTCGCCCAGGCTGGAGTGCAGTGGCGCCATCTTGGCTCACTGCAACCTCCGCCTCCTGGGTTCAACCAATTCGCCTGCCTCAGCCTCCCAAGTAGCTGGGACTACAGGCTTGCACCACCATGCCCGGCTAATTTTTATATTTTTGGTAGAGGCAGGGTTTCACCATGTTGGCCAGGCTGGTCTTGAACTCCTGACCTCAAGAGAACTGCCCACCTCCGCCTCCCAACGTGCTAGGATTACAGGCGTGATCCACCATGCCTGGCCCCGTCCTTCTCTCTCTCTTTCTCTTTTTCTTTTTTTGAGACAAAGTCTTGCTCTCTTGCCCAGGCTGGAGCGCAGTGGTGTAATCTCGGCTCACTGCAACCTCCACCTCCCAGGTTCAAGCGATTCTCCTGCCTTAGCCTCCCAAGTAGCTGGGATTACAGGTGCCTGCCACCATGCCTGGCTAATTTTTGTATTTTTAGTAGAGACAGGGTTTCACCATGTTGGCCAGGCTGGTCTTGAACTCCTGACCTTGTGATCCGCCTGCCTTGGCCTCCCAAAGTGCTGGGATTACAGGTGTGAGCCACTGTGCCCAGCCCCCTTCCTTCTTTAAGAAGAAAGCCCTCTTGGAATAACTTCACTAACTCTCTAATTCAGCAACATAATTATTAATTCATCTTAAATTAAAAAAACTTTTATGTGTATAACTACATTTGTGTTGTGTGTTTATCTTCTCAGTTCTACATTATTACACTTTATAGGACAGGGAATGAATCTAACCACTTACTACATATCCCAAGTGTGCTAGGATCTTTGGAGGAATCAGTAAATCCTCAATAATTAACTTCATAAACAGTTATTATTATTATTGTATTTTTTGAGACAGAGTCTTACTCTGTTGCAAGGCTGGAGTGCAGTGGCGCGATCTTGGTTCACTGCAACCTCCGCCTCCCAGGTTCAAGTGATTCTCCTGCCTCAGCCTCCCAAGTAGCTGGGACTACAGGCATGCGCCACCACACGCAGCTGATTTTTGTATTTTTAGTAGAGACGGGGTTTCACCATGTTGACCAGGATGGTCTCGATCTCTTGACCTCGTGATCCACCCGCCTTGGCCTCCCAAAGTGCTGGGATTACAAGCGTGAGCCGCCGTGCCCGGCCTAGTTATTTTCTTTATGGGGTTTGTTACATTTGTAATATTTTTCTTGGCCTAAACCAAGCACTTCTCATTTTTTTTTTGCGTATACTTTAAAAAATACATTTTTGATAGTGTCTCTTTTGAAATTACTATTTGCCTTAGAATATTTAATATATTAGACTAAATGTGCCAGGATTAAAGAAATTTGTAATAATGTATTCTTTTTTCCCTTTGATATATGCAATAAGACATTGGAAGAGCATGAGGCAGAGACAGGAATGAAGTCTAAAGAAGCCAGAAAATACATTTTCAACAGTCTGGATGATGTAGCGCATGTGAGTACCATAGCCACATTTGTTCATCTTACATGCTTAGATGGTAGACTTGAATGCCAAGGGGCCCAAAACATGTTACTCAGTTTTTAAATGGCTACAGAGTCCATGCTGTTTTTAAGTTTTTCAAATGAAACTGATTCTATTTTCAACCTTTCAGGAACTAAATTGCATTTGTCGTTATCAAAATTTTAATTTACCTATTCGTTCTTTAGTAAAAAAGTTTTTGCTTTGAAAGGAAAAATCCTAGCCAACAGATTTCCCTATATTTCATTAGAAATGGATATTTGTTTAATTTTTAAAAACTTCTTTTATGCTTTGAATCCTATTTGGTACCTCAACACATTTTGAGGATTTGTTAATATTATTTGTTCTTCTTTGTTTTAAGATAATTGTAGTTCCCTCTCCTCTCCTGTGTTGTGATTTTTGTTTTATTTTTTAACGGTGGAATTTATACTACTCTCTGTGACTTATTTTTACTTGATGGCTTGAAATTTTGATTTTCTTAGGTGAACACAGTGATGGATTTGGAAGGAAGTGATCTTTTGGCTGAGAAAGCTGATAGAAGAGAATTTGTTAGTCTGTTGAAGAAAATGTTGCTGATTGATGCAGATTTAAGAATTACTCCAGCTGAGACCCTGAACCATCCTTTTGTTAATATGAAACATCTTCTAGATTTCCCTCATAGCAACCAGTATGTTACTTTAAGATCTTTTAAAGTGGTTCTAAAAAAAAATAAGTCTGTAGAAAATGACTGCATCAGAGAAATTACTTTTCTTCATTAAACACAAGTAACCTGAGTCAAAAGAGGCTAAGCTAACTTGACCAAGTTCACATACACCAGTAAGTGTCAGGGAACTAGAACCCAAGTCTGAATTGCAGTCCAGTGTTCCTTCTCCAAAATGCGATACTAAAAATAAGACTGAGTGGTTTTGTTTTTATTATACATGACTTTCTTACCTTAATAACCAGGCATATATAAAAGGAAATGCTAACAGTTTTCTCTTTAAAGTCACATTTCAGTTTTCCTACACTGTAGGTTCTATCATATTTTGAGTCGTGCAACTTCCATTTTACATTTTTTTTTCCCCACAACTTTTGCTTTCCTTTTTCCTCTTTTTCTCCTGCATTTTGAAGAAAAGGAGGTTTTTCATGGGTCAGTAGATCATAGGTCAGTAGGGAAGAATATATACTAAAATTCCAAAGGCCTTAAATATTACAAATTCTTTGTGTTTTGTTTGTTTGTTTGTTTTGGAGACAGGGTCTTGCTCTGTCAGTTGCCCAGGCTGGAGTGCAGTGGCACAATCTTTGCTCACTACAACCTCCGCCTCACAGGCTCAAGTGCTCCTCCCACCACCTCAGCCTCCTGAGTAGCTGGGACTACAGGCATACGCCACCATGCCTGGCAAATTTTTCGTAGAGATGGGGTTTCACCATGTCACCCAGGTTGGTCTCGAACTTCTGGGCTCAAGTGATCCACCCACCTTGGCCTCCCAAAGTGCTGGGACTATAGGTGTGTGCCACTGCACCTGGCCAAATCTTACAAATTCTTTGAACCTCAGACATATTTTGGGAGATGAAGGGAGTAAATTTAAGTGACTTAAAATGGCTTCCTTCAGTATTTAAAAAGACAAAATGAAGAAGGCATGGGAATGAATCCAATATTTATCATTGTGAATTGTTCTTAAAAATTACGTTTTTCTACAGCCCAGTTACATTTTCCCCTCAAACACTTAAAATGTCCTAATGTTTTTCATATACAGTCACTTTGAAAGTAACATGATAGCAACTCTTTGGTACTGTTAATTTAGTGGTGTGGAGATCTCGAAATTTCGGAAAAAGTTTTTCGTGTAGGGGATCGTAAAATTATTGCATGCTAACCAAAAAATGCTTACTGTGGTTTTACTGTTTTAAGAAAAATATTGCAGAATATATACTTTTACTTGCTCTGAAACTTAATCTTTTCTGGTAAGATTTCCTGTTAGAAATACTATTGGAAATAAGCAGATTAAGTGCAAATTAGGATTTTTTTCTTTTAGGAATAATTTTTTTATTTTGTCAATGTACCTCAATTTAAAACTAAGCTTTTAAAATAATACTGTAATACCTTCACTTTTTCTTTTACAGTGTAAAGTCCTGTTTTCATATTATGGATATTTGTAAGTCCCACCTAAATTCATGTGACACAAATAATCACAACAAAACTTCACTTTTAAGACCAGTTGCTTCAAGCAGTACTGCTACACTGACTGCAAATTTTACTAAAATCGGAACATTAAGAAGTCAGGTAAGAATGTGTAGTAATTAATAACTTAGGGTCTTTTTTTAATGATTGCGCATTTTACTTTTGATATATACAGAAGTTTGGTGTCAGTTGTTAGAATGTACAGTGCTGTGAGGTCTTACTATACCTGTTTTTACCAAATCTCTTAAAATTCCAAGGTAATAATTGGAACATATCTACTCCGATTCACTTTTTGCCATTCCTCTCTTCATTCTCTCAATACCTTTCACCTGCCCTTCTATGCCACAACTCTACCAAAAGTAGAGGTCAGTAGAATCGGTTTTTAAATTTTAATTTCGGCAGCTTGTTTTTGTTCTCATTTTCTGGACACATTTTAATAGTAGAATTATGATCTTAAGAAATGTGTTTGAATTCTATTTATACAGCGTGTATATTTCATTTAGAAGACTGCTCTATATAATGTGCTCGTTGTTTCAGGCATTGACCACATCTGCTCATTCAGTTGTGCACCATGGAATACCTCTGCAGGCAGGAACTGCTCAGTTTGGTTGTGGTGATGCTTTTCAGCAGACATTGATTATCTGTCCCCCAGCTATTCAAGGTATTATTTTATTTAAATTTTGCTTTGAATCTAGGCATGCTTTATTTTAAAATAAGTTTAGGAATCTGTTCATTAAATATATTGTATAATTTTTGCTGCATTTAGTGCTACATTTGAATTTAAGCTGTTCAGGCCAAGTGTGGTGTTTCACGCCTGTAATCCCAGCACTTTGGGAGGCTGAGGTAGGCGGATCACTTGAGGCCAGGAGTTTGAGACCAGCCTGGCCAACATGGTGAAACCTCAGCTTTCCTAAAAATACAAAAAATTAGCTGGGTATGGTGGTGCGTGCCTGTAGTCCCAGCTACTCGGGAGGCTGAAGCTGGGAAATGGAGGTTGAAGCTGGAAAGTGGAGGTTGCAGAGAGCCGAGATTGCGCCACTGCGCTCTAGCCTGGGCGACAGAGTGAGACTCTGTCTCAAAAAAAAAAAAAAAAAAAAAAAAATTTAAGCTGTTCAATAAGCCTTCAGACCAGTGACACTCATTTCTTGACTGGAACTCCGTTACAGTCATCACTAACAAAATGGGTCATATGATAACTGTATTTCCTGTAGAGTCTAGCATGATAAAATACCTTAATAGGAATGAATGAACTTGGGCTACAGGTTGGCCTATACTGGGTATCACTGTTTTAGACATTTAGCTACCAATACTAAACATAAAAGTGACTGAGAGCTCAGTTATTTAAAATTTTGGTCAAAAGAGTTTTGTCCCAAAATATTATAGTCTTTATTGATAGCTTAGGTAATAAATAATGGATTGATTTCAATTACATTAATGTCCCTTCATTAAATAAAAATAGCCAATTAAATCCTCAAGCGGAATGGGTGACAGAATACCTTTGAAGAGGCTATACATTCTTTTTTTTTTTTTTTTTTGAGACAGAGTTTCACTCTTGTTGCCCAGGCAGGAGTGCAATGGCACTATCTCGGCGCACTGCAACCTGCAGCCTCCGCCTCCCGGGTTCAAGCAATTCTGCCTTAGCCTCCCGAGTAGCTGGGAAGCTGGGATTACAGGCATGCGCCACCACGCCTGGCTAATTTTGTATTTTTAGTAGAGACGGGGTTTTTCCATGTTGGTCTTGAACTCCTGACCTCAGGTGATCCACCTGCCTCGGCCTCCCAAAATGTTGGGATTACAGGGGTGAGCCACCATACCTGGCTGGCTATACATTCTTAAACTAGGAAATCTCTTAGTGGTTTCTAGGGAATCATAGCAGCAAACCTCACTACTGGAATAACTGGACTAAAACCCTACTTCCTAAGTCCTTTCCTGGGATTTTGTCCTTGCTAAGCTTTAACATCTAGTTAATGCAAGAGGTCAATTACAGATGGGGCCCTAAACCAACATGTCCAACTTAGTGGTGATACTGTACAGAGTAAATGAAAACAGTTGGTGCTGAGTCAGGACACCTGGAATCTAATTCTGTTTCTCCTGTTTGCTGTATCATTGTAGGCTAGCCTGTTTACTTATTTCAGCCTTAGTAGAAGGAAATAGCCTGAATAGATAATATATTGGCCATTTCTAACTCTAATATATTTTGATTCTGAAGGATTATTTGATTTTGTGTGTGTGTGTGTGTGTGTGTGTGTGTGTGTGTGTGTGTGTCTTTTTTTGAGATAGTGTCTTGCTCTGTTGCCCAGGCTAGAGTGTGGTAGCACGATCTTGGCTCACTGCACCTCCACCTCCTGAGTTCAGGTGATTCTCATGCCTCAGCCTCCCAAGTAGCTGGGGTTACAGGTATGCACCACCACTCCTGGCTAATTTTTGTATTTTTAGTATGTACAGGGTTTCACCATGTTGGCCAGGCTGGTCTCGAACTCCTGACCTCAAGTGATCTGCCTGCCTCAGCCTCTCATAGTGCTGGGATTACAGTCATTAGCCGCTGCGCCCAGCCTCTGATTTTTTAATTTTAAGCATTCAAGCAACTCTAAAACTTTTTTTATTTTAATATTTACCTCAGTACCAAATAAAAAACCAAGAATATGTTTGTTGACTTGATTTGCTGGTAATAAGAGATGTGAAAACAGGTCAGATCTTTAGTTACTGTTGTTCTATCGGGGTAGCTTTATTTTCATTGTTTTTATATATTGGATTTTCAAGTAATGTATCATTGGGAGAAGGATTTATATCATAGAAAGTATAATAAAAGGGCAACTTAGATGGTTGATTCTGAAGGTGAAATTGTGGCCCAGTGGCCACAGTGGTGGTCTGTGAGTATCTGTAACAGTGACATTTTTATTACTTTCTGGTAATAAAAATGCCCACATCATTGTAGTGTTAGGAATAATAGATGCTAACAATATAATGCTGTTGTGTTTTTCAGTTTTTTCCCCCAAGTGTTTATTATAGGAATTTCAAACATACAGAAAAATTGAAAGAATAATATGTTTTCTACCCTAGATTCAACAGGTGTTACTATTTTACCATATTTGCATTATCAATCTACCTACCTACCTACAGTGCACATACATGTACTATTTGAAATTAAATGGTAGATTTTATGACACTACTTCTAAATACTTCAGCATGCAAGATTGCTGTTTAAAAATTTTTTTTAATCAGTTATTACTTGTGTTATCTTGACAAATGCATTTTCACTTAAATTTATAATCTGTACTAACAAGTAGGTTATTTGGTTCTAGTAATCCCTCCCATGTACCAAAATCAGTTTGAGGGTCACCACTTATACTGTGGTATATTTCACGAAGATTTAGAATAGCAGGTTTTTTTTCAGAGCCTAGCTTCTTTGGCAAAAACTTAAAGAGACTTCGGAGACACATTTCTAAACAGCATTGAGCATAATTCTTAAAACATTTCAATGAGGTTAGAAAAATCTTTTATCTTTTTATATGGCTTATAATTGATGAAAAGTTAGAAACCTTTCTGTACATAAAGTAACAACTATATCAGTGGTTTACAATATGGGATAATCGAAGGAAAAGAATTACTGTCACAGACTCATTAACCCATTAAATGTCATGAACAGCACTTTTGAATTAGAATTACTAGTGAGAAGAAGCACAGTATGTTTTAGCTTTTATAACAGGTGCAGTTGCAGCAACAGGCCAGGCAGGCTCTGTAAGTATGTTGTTTCTCTTCTTAGTAGAGTGTCTGCCTTAGAAATGAAAGCACTCCCTCTACAGTCTTAGTATCTAACGGGTAGATGTTATATAGAAATTGTAATGTAGAAAATTTCAGCATTGGGCTTCTTGCCCCTCCCCTTCATTTACCCTTTCCCTTCAGAATGTGTCAATCCATTTACAAGAAACATTTAAAAATAATTATTGGGCAGCTATTTGAGATAGTAATTATGGTACCATTGTGGTTTGTATTTTAAAATAAACTTTATCCCTTTGACTTAAAAATTTTACTTTGGAGCTATCATGTTTAAGTAATGCATTTAATATATTTTAGATATTATAATATGTAGGTATAGGTATATAAATACTATATCCATAAGACTGTGCTTATTTTAAAAAGTCAGTTTATTTTTAAAAATCAGCTAAGCTTTTATTTAACATCTGAGTGTTTTATATATTAAACAAGCTTTTAAAATTATTTAGTGACCTGAAAAGTTAGGTATTCATCCCCTCTAGATGACAACTACTATATTAGAGTAAAATATATTCCAGCAAAATTCTCTTCTGTTATACTAAAATAATATTCATAAGCTTTTTATGTCTTGTCTTCCAAGTATTAAAGCAAATATAATCAAAGATAAAGTTTCAGCTAACCTAATAACTAACTATACAAAAATTAAGATCTTATCCCACTGTTGAATCTGATCAAAAATTAGATCTCCTGTGGAGAGGGTATATAGGAGAATTCTTCTCATCTTAAGGCATTGCTTGTGGAGAGAATTTACAGACAATGAGATTTTTGTTCAGATTTGGAAATTTGCTCTCTCTGTTCATCCTTGTCAAAGTGAAGAGATTTTTTTTTTCTTGAAGAGATTGTCTATATATTGCAATATATCTACACTGCCTGGGTGTGCTTATATTCCATGTCTTGGAGAATTGGATGATCAAGACAGGCTTTTTAGCAGGAGTAAGAAGATTTTTATTAAACTTGACTCATACCTGGCTCTTTAGGTGGAGCACAGAGAGTAGAATACCCTGGTATGGTAGTAAGGTAACAGTCTCAGTGAAGAAAATAAACAGGCTGAAATGGACATTCTCTTTAGGATTAACACTTACATCTGTGAAATAGAAAATTTGAGGTTGTTTTACAATAGAGAAAGAAAACAATTGTAGTATTTTTCTCTTATGCCTGAAGAGAAACACTCAACATCACATTTATCCCCAAATTGATTATATTATATTTAAATAATTTGCAAGCCCATGTTGAAAGTAACTGCTGCAATAAACTGGAATTATGAAGTGCTGAAATGATTTTCATTAATGTACTTTCTGATCTTCGGGGATGTCCCTAAAATCTTGTCAAAACTTTAAGCTGGAATGTGATACTACTTTGCTCTCTCAGAGTTCAATATTATAAGACTTAATATTTGCAAGGTGCTTTGCAGTGAAAACAGCTATATTAACATTATAGTAACATTAACAGGATTAACATGTCTGGTAATCCTGCTTTCTAATTTTCCTAGTGGGCAAGCAAAATGGTAGCATGTTTGTTCTGGAGTTTCAGCTCTCTGCTAAGAATACTAGTCAATTAAGCCACATTGCGGAAACCTTAGTTTTATCATCAAATTGGTAAATAGGTTAGTTTTGCCTTTCCTTTGGAGGTTGAAATGAGTGTGCCATCCCGGAATTTTCATCCATTATGTGAACCATTATGTCCATTAAATTATGAAGTTGTGATGTATTTCTGTTTTGGTGACAGGAGCATAAGATTCTATCACAGTTTTAAAGAAGAAGATAACTAAGCATAGCTAAAAGTTTGTATGAAAAGAAGAACCTTCACCTGCTAGGTTGTCAGCATACTAAGCCAGATTCTTCTTTCCATGTTCTTTATCATGGTGACTGAACTATTTAAAAAGGAAAATAAAGCTTCAATAGCAAACTTCGGAGATGAGAAGTTTCAAGAAAATTAAATCGTTCAACTTTGTAGTATGCATTTTGAAACAGAAAGGGAAGCTTTATGATAATTTTTGGAATGATGTATATCACAAAGTAGACAAGAAGTACCTCATTTTGCTACTAGATTGCTCTGTTAGTGTTATGAAAATTTTATGCAGAGAATGGTATCATAACTCCACAATCAGGGCTGGGTGTGGTGGCTCATGCCTGTGATACCAGAAATTTGGGAGGCCGAGGTAGGAGGATCTCTTGAGCCCAGGAGTGCAAGACCAGCCTGAGCAACATAGACCCTGTCTCTACCAAAAATTAAAGAGATTAGCTGGGCATGGTATATGCCTGTGGTCCCAGCTGCTCAAGAGGTTGAGGTGGGAGGATCCACTTGAGTCCAGGAGGTTGAGGCCACAGTATGGATCATGCCACTGTGCTCCAGTCTGGGCAACAGAGCGAGGCCCTGTCTCAAAAAAAAAAAAAATCTGTCAGAATCTAAGCAATTCTTGACATTTAAAATAATTGTATAAGTTAAATAAGAGGAAGATTTTTTCTTTTATTTGATAACTATTCTGTTTCACAGGTATTCCTGCAACACATGGTAAACCCACCAGTTATTCAATAAGGGTAGATAATACAGTTCCACTTGTAACTCAGGCCCCAGCTGTGCAGCCACTACAGATCCGACCAGGAGTTCTTTCTCAGGTTGGTAATAATTCATTCTTTGCCATATATCAGCTTGTGCTTTTGGGAAATAGTGAAAATGACCTGGATAGGGATTTAATCCATTTTGTAGGTTATGGACTTTAATGTTTATAATTGTTAGCTGTTACTTTTAGATAGTTTTGAGTTTAAGATATGGTAAAGTTCAATTACTTATAACTTGTTATTTTCTATTGTTTTGCTTTGCTGCAAGCAGACGTGGTCTGGTAGAACACAGCAGATGCTGGTGCCTGCCTGGCAACAGGTGACACCCCTGGCTCCTGCTACTACTACACTAACTTCTGAGAGTGTGGCTGGTTCACACAGGCTTGGAGACTGGGGGTAAGCTGAAAACAAAAGTACTTTGTGAATAGTTTGCAGACTAGATCTTGATTAAAGAAAGATCTTGATTAAAAACATTGTTCTGAACTTCTCCCTAGGAAGATGATTTCATGCAGCAATCATTATAACTCAGTGATGCCGCAGCCTCTTCTGACCAATCAGATAACTTTATCTGCCCCTCAGCCAGTTAGTGTGGGGATTGCACATGTTGTCTGGCCTCAGCCTGCCACTACCAAGAAAAATAAACAGTGCCAGAACAGGTTGGTATTGGTGCTTTAGCTTTCCTCTGCATTTTGAGAATCTTTTAAATGAATTTTGCATGTACTCTAAAGGGTCACTCTGTTGTATTCAAAATGACCTCTTTTATAGCTTTGTTACAAACACTAAGCCAGCTCCCTTCTCAATTTCTCAGAGGTATTTTGGTAAAACTAATGGAATGGGAGCCAGGAAGAGAGGAAATAAATGCTTTCAGTTGGTAAGATTGTCTTTATTGCCCTTTTGATTTATTATCTACCTGTAATGTAGCAATTGTGGACATTCAGATAGCACATTTACCAAAAAGCAACTATTTAAATGTATGTAAATGCAGTCTACATGGATATTTCTAGAGCTATTTTATATTTCACAAAAACTCAAGATCTGTTAGTGTGTTATATTCATGAACTCGAACAAGTGAAGGTTCTCATTTTCTGGTTTAACAAGATACCTTAGACAATTGATTATACATATTTTGATTATAGAAATTATAAATTATTCCTTTGGTTGCAGGAGTAATTCATTACAGAATACCAATATCCCACATTCAGCATTTATTTCTCCAAAGATAATTAATGGGAAAGATGTCGAGGAAGTAAGTTGTATAGAAACACAGGACAATCAGAACTCAGAAGGAGAGGCAAGAAATTGCTGTGAAACATCTATCAGACAGGACTCTGATTCATCAGTTTCAGACAAACAGCGGCAAACCATCATTATTGCCGACTCCCCGAGTCCTGCAGTGAGTGTCATCACTATCAGCAGTGACACTGATGAGGAAGAGACTTCCCAGAGACATTCACTCAGAGAGTAAGTGCCAAACGCTGCATCCTCAAAGGATATAGATGGCATCCTTTGGTGTGCCGAAAAACAACTTTCTGTGACTTATTTCTTGTTTGTCAATGTACTCTGGAGTAAAACCTTTAAATTAGATAACCCAGTTCTAGACAGGGAACTTTCTAAATAACATTTAGCACGATTATTATAGCATTTTCCTTGTATCTGTAAGCTTTAACTTTTTGTCCATGTAGGTCATTCTTAACAGTTTCATATCCTTAATTAAAGAATATAAATTTTGGCTATTTGGAGAGTATCTTCTTGTATTTGACTCATGTTTTTCCCTTTTCTCTTCCACTAGATGTAAAGGTAGTCTAGATTGTGAAGCTTGCCAGAGCACTTTGAATATTGATCGGATGTGTTCATTAAGTAGTCCTGATAGTACTCTGAGTACCAGCTCCTCAGGGCAGTCCAGCCCATCCCCCTGCAAGAGACCGAATAGGTAAAAGAATCTCAATAGTAGTGTGTAATAAATAGTAAGTCTACTAAAAAGCCTACGATTTCTTTCTGTTGTTTAATAAGTACCTGCCAGTTTACCACAGTGACTTCTATCTTGAACACAATTTTTGAACTAGATCAGTTTTTATAAACACAGGTTTGTTTGTTTGTTTGTTTGTTTTTGAGACAGGGTCTTGCTTTGTTGCCCAGGCTGGAATGCAGTGGCATGATCTCGGCTCACAGCAACCTCTGCCTCCCAGGCTCAAGCAATCCTCTTGCCTTAGCCTCTTGAGTAGCTGGGACCACAGGTGCGCACAGCGATGCTCGGCTAATTTTTAAGTTTTTTTTGTAGAGATGGGATCTTGCCCTGTTGCACAGGCTGGTCTTGAACTCCTGGGCTCAACCAGTGCTCCCACCTTGGCCTCCCAAAGTGCTGGGATTACAGGCATGAGCCACCATACCTAACTAAATAATCTTTTTTTGCTGAGGGGCGGGTGGGAGGAGATGAAGTGTGGCTCTGTCACCTAGGCTGGAGTGCAATGGTGTGATCTTGGCTCACCGCAGCCTCCGCCTCCCCAGGTTCAAGTGAGTCTCCTGCCTCAGCCTCCCATGTAGCTGGGACTACAGGAACCTGCCACCACACCTGGCTAATTTTTTGTATTTTTAGTAGAGATGGGGTTTCACCAGGACATGCTGGTCTTGAACTCCTTACCTCAGGTGATCTGCCTGCCTCAGCCTCCCAAAATGCTAGGATTACAGGCGTGAGCCACCACATCCAGCCAAATAATCTATTTTTGAAAGGATAAAAAAGCCACATTCTTAATTTCAGCCCCACAGACTACTATTGTAACTTAAATTTGGAATAAAAACATATACTTTAGCAAAATTAAAAAGGAATGTTTTGCATAATGAAGTACTCACTGGCCCACTGTCTACAGGACATCCACTATGATTTTTTTCTCCCATTGGTGACTGATTTGCATGGTTTTATCCATATTAACCTGGCTTACCCATCCTTTGGCCAGCGACATGTACCACTGCTAAGATAGTAAGCTTGTCCTAAGCAGAATGATTTACTAACGCATTGAGAGATAAGCCACAGTCTAGGCACAGTGGCCAACACTTGTAATCCCAGCACTTTGGGAGGCCAAGGCAGGAGGATCACTTGAGGCCAAGAGTTCGAGACCAGCCTGGACAACATAGTGAGACCCCGCCTCTACCAAAAATTAAAAAAAAAAAAAAAAGCAGGATGTGGTGTTGCATGCCTGTAGTGCTAGCTACTCAGGAGGCTGAGGCAGGAGGATTATTTGAGCCCTGTAATTTGAGGCTGCAGTGAGCTATGATCACACCACTGCACTATAGCCTGGGCAACAGAGTAAGACCCTATCTCTTAGAAAGGAAGGAAGGAAGGAGGGGAAGGAAAGAAAGAAATAAAGTCTTATTTTAGTGGCAACAAACATTTGAAAAATTTTAAGTTTTAATTTTACACATCTTTTTCCTTAGGAAATATGATATTGCATTCTTATAGCCAAAGCTCTATGGAAAATATAAGGAAATTTTAATGTATCTTCTTAAAAGTTGCTTATAATATGGTTTGAAAATTGATAATGTACATAACTATACATTCACATGTAAAATATATATAAACAAATATACGTATAAGATATATAAATAAAAATATGTATAAAAAGAGATGCTTCAAATTCGTAAGTAAGTATGGAATGAGTGGTTGAAACAGACAATAAATGCTGTAGAAATCCCAAGGAGAGAGAGATTGTCAGGGCCCAAGAGTGTCAGGAAGAGATGAGAAATATGGGGCTCTGTCTAGGCCTTCAGAGGTGTGGGGATACCTTTCAGATACCTGGTTAGGTACAAGGACCCAAATTACCAGCAGAGGCACATATCCTGATGTTAGAATTTAATTTGAAATAGCCAAGTCACATACATATATGTTTGTATATTTCATTTAAATTATCCAGAGCAGTGCCTCTTTTGTCATGTCTTGATGAAATTATCTGGAATTTATAAAGAGGAATTTTATGAGCTGCTACTAAGGATCAAATGGGAAGGGAAAGAAGAAAAAAAAAATGCCAAAATGATGTTCCTGAAATGGAACAGAATTAGGTTTGGCAGTTGGAACAGAGAATTAATTTAAGGGTCTAGAAATTTTATGAAAAAGTGCTATTGGACAAGGAAAAAGGTGTAATTATATATAAAATAACTGAATAATGTTCTCATCAGTTCACTGGAGCCTGAATATTACTTAACATTAGATTTAATGTTGGAAAAAAATATCACTCATAAAAAATGCTTTCTTTTTGTAGTATGTCAGATGAAGAGCAAGAAAGTAGTTGTGATACGGTGGATGGCTCTCCGACATCTGACTCTTCCGGGCATGACAGTCCATTTGCAGAGAGCACTTTTGTGGAGGACACTCATGAAAACACAGAATTGGTATCCTCTGCTGACACAGAAACCAAGCCAGCTGTCTGTTCTGTTGTGGTGCCACCAGTGGAACTAGAAAATGGCTTAAATGCCGATGAGCATATGGCAAACACAGGTAAGTTGAGTCCTCCCATTTCTCTGGTTGTCCTTTAAATACGGTCTTAATTTAGGAAAATCTGAGAATGCAGTTGCCAAAGTCATCTCTGAATTTTGACTTGACCCTGCCTTATGTATTGTACAGAGGAAATCTTCTAGTATTATCCAGTGCTTGGAAACCATGACCTCTCCTTTGATTTTATTTAATTTTAAGGCTCTCAAATCACTATTGTGTAAAATATCTAAAGACTTTGCTAATTTTTTATTTGAAAAGGAAAAAGCATAAACTCTTTAATATTTTATTCGTCGCCAGATTCTATATGCCAGCCATTAATAAAAGGACGATCTGCCCCTGGAAGATTAAACCAGCCTTCTGCAGTGGGTACTCGTCAGCAAAAATTGACATCAGCATTCCAGCAGCAGCATTTGAACTTCAGTCAGGTATGTTCATTTGTGGATATGTAGGAGTCTGTGGGATTCAAATTTAGCAGTTGTTTTTCACGTGGAGGAGAAAGCTTCTGAAACTGTATGTAGTGTTAATGAATTTTTCCCTTCTCATTATCCCAAGTGGCTAAAGAGTAACTGGCTTAATAATAGGATAATTAAGCAAATTATCCATAGAACTTGTAGCCTTTTTCAGAAAGATTAAGTCCTTAGGTTCTCTTACATAATATTAACAGAGTGTGTCTGTTATCTCAGAACATCATTAACCTTCCTGAATACTTTCCATCTTATTCAACACTATATTTGGCGGTTGTGTTTCAGTTGGGAAAAGAAAAGATCACAGATACTGGAGTTGGACGGGGATTCAAATCTTGGTTTTGCCATGTACTATATATATATATTACCTTGGCCAGGTCTTTTCAA
Organism: Homo sapiens; assembly: GCF_000001405.40. Lineage (NCBI taxonomy): Eukaryota > Metazoa > Chordata > Mammalia > Primates > Hominidae > Homo > Homo sapiens. The sequence goes on from NC_000011.10 coordinate 33,352,692, forward strand.
CAAATCTGATTTGGAGCACAGTTAATGGGAATCGTAATTATATCATGGGTTGTTTTAGAAGTAAATAACATTGTGTATGTAAATGTTAGCTTTACATATAAGAAGTGCTCCACAAATGGTAGCTGTTAGTAGTGATGGGGATAGTAATAGGTAGTACTAGCAGCAGTAATAGCAGTGTTTATATTATAATAATATGTAGTAATAAATACTAAAATGTTAATACTAATATATATGGAATTGATATTTTTCTCTCCTCTAGTTATTCTTAGTATAAGTTAGTTCTGAGAGATCCACTATGAGTTATCAATCACAAAGGGTATATTGTAATTTCCCTTTCTTTCTTTCCTTTTATCTTTTAAGGTATGTTATTCAGTCATTTTTTTTTTTTCTTTGTGGATAGGTTCAGCACTTTGGATCTGGGCATCAAGAGTGGAATGGAAACTTTGGGCACAGAAGACAGCAAGCTTATATTCCTACTAGTGTTACCAGTAATCCATTCACTCTTTCTCATGGAAGTCCCAATCACACAGCAGTGCATGCCCACCTGGCTGGAAATACACACCTCGGAGGACAGCCTACTCTACTTCCATACCCATCATCAGCCACCCTCAGTAGTGCTGCACCAGTGGCCCACCTGTTAGCCTCTCCGTGTACCTCAAGACCTATGTTACAGCATCCAACTTATAATATCTCCCATCCCAGTGGCATAGTTCACCAAGTCCCAGTGGGCTTAAATCCCCGTCTGTTACCATCCCCAACCATTCATCAGACTCAGTACAAACCAATCTTCCCACCACATTCTTACATTGCAGCATCACCTGCATATACTGGATTTCCACTGAGTCCAACAAAACTCAGCCAGTATCCATATATGTGAAAAACAGTATATTGGGGAAGCTCAATGATACAAACATTTGATTAAAAATAAAAACATGGTATTTAATATTAGCCATGGCACAAGAAAATTATTTTTGAATCATGTAGACTTGGGTGCAATTTAAACAACTTTGAGCTTTAAAAACTCACTTTTGATGTGTTTTGCACATTTGGTATAACTTGTCTTTGGTCATGTTATCTTCTTATGTAGTAACTCTAGACAGGTGACTTATGGGAGCAGAAGTCCAGTTTTGCTCCTGCTATTTTTTATAAATTGCCTTCTAACTAGTGCAAGACACGTCTACATTTGGGAAGCCATTCTGTGTACAGACTTAGAGCAACAGATGCACATATGTCAGAATTACAGCATACAAGTGAATTGTATTATCCGTGTCTTAGTGTATAAATGTTGGGTCACTTACCTAAGAAATTGAGCTATTGTTCTTTACATTTGCATGTGTCTTTTGCATGGGCAAAATGTTGCCTAGACTTTGCTCTTAAATGTTGTTCTAATAATCTCAGCTGCATTGTAAACCGTTCCTACACATAGTGCCTTAAATATTTGAGGTTGTTAATGTTATTACCTATATATAAATGTTGAGGACTGCAGCACTTAAAATTCAGACCTACTATTTAGTTTCCTTTTGATAGCGTAATGTTCATTTTTGTTTTTGTGTGGTATGATTTCAGGTAGTAGCTGTTTTTTTCCTTATTAAGAGGGCAGCATGTTTGCTATAGCTGAATTCTGCTGTCTGATTTTTCAGAATGATCTAGCTTCAAGAAAAGCAAGCAGTTAGTAGTGCTTAAGAAAAATTGATTCAGTATCTAATGGATAGTTGATAACTGTCACAGCACAGCATTTTATATACTGTTAAGTGAAACTGCAATACAATCTAAGTTTATTTTGAGAGTGTTTGCTGTATAATTGGACTTAATAAAATGTTTAGAGGTACAGTAGGCATGACTTTGGGTAGATAATAAAATGCAAAATGCTCATTGATTCATGATGTGGTTTTATCTTAGCTTGGGCAAACCATGCAGTATTTAATAAATAGTAGCAGAACTTTTACTATTGAAGCTTGAAAAGATGTGAGTTCTTTGTGTGCAATTTTTGATTTATGCATGTGAGAGGGTTTTTTTTTTTTTTAAGTATTTTTACATTGCAGTACTTGTTTTGCTTGTTGGTGATGTTTGCTTATTTAATACATTCCGTCAGGGACAGAAATTACATGCTTTTTTTTCTTTCTAGGAAGTGTGTTGAGTTCCCCCCTTCCCCGACATTTTTTTCTTTTTTGGGTGGTGGTGATGGTAGTGGTTATGTCTGTTTAAATGAAGTTGCTTTTACAGCACCAAAGACTTAATCATCCATTTCCTATATAAAGGTAGCTACTTTTTGCATAGACCTCAAGTATATTGTAGTGTAAAGGTGGAATTTAAGGAAAGGTATTAAATTGAGGCTGTGTTTTAGCTTACAGGCAAGTAATAAATTGTATCATTTATCTTGAATGTATCATAGATAAGCTGCTATATAACGATTGCCACTTCAGATAGCTGTGAAATTAGGTGATTAACTAGTTGTTATTTAGCCTTCTAATTTCTGTATAAGTCTAATTACATGAATAGAAATTGGGGTTTTGATTTTTTACTTTGCTTTTCTGTTTGGAGTGTCATTGTAACTACTGTATTGTAAATGGTGGAAAATAATTGCATTTGTTACTTTGGGGTGTGTTATTTGCATCAGTATTTTATCTCTATTAATGTTTGTGCTCATCACTGCATATTAAAAAAACTTGGATGTATCAGTGTAACTTAATTTTTTATTTTCATACTGGCATTGTAGACACTTGAGAAAGCTGTATCTTGCAGGCTTGACTTAACTTTTTTCCTTAAAAATCTGGAATATAATCTTACAGCATTTACTGGAATAAACAGTACAAAGCATTGGAGTGTAAAACTCTAGATGTTTTGGATTTACAGCGTTTCTTTGATAAATGAATTGTATACCACTAGTACAGCTCTAGTACAGCGTTCACAATAAGCTAATAATGGATAAGTTTTCTTCACTCCATTAACACAAGCAGTGTTTTATTTAATAATCATCAATGAAATAAATGTGCCTGAAATTGATTTTAAAAATTACAGTATTAGATCATAAAGTAAAAACCAGCAGTACATTTTTAGTCACACTGAAAATGAAGGACTTAATTTTCCCCACAAGTTTCAGTGTTTTTAGTAATTAATTCTATGCATTTTATACAAATAGAAATATATATATATAAAAAATTAAATGTTTAAAAAGGAGTAGCCTAAGATTAATTTAAAAGATTATTTACAGATGACACATTTATGGGGTCACTATTTAAGTAAATTTGCTGCCCTCCACAGCCTTCTAATTTTATTTATATGTTCCAGCAGATTATTAGGATCTGCTTACTTCTTAGGAAAGAATCAATGCTGGCAACACATTGTTTCAGAAACACCAAGTGCAAAGGATTGATTGTATCACAACAGGTACAAAACTGACAGAGTTTTCTTTTTGTTTAGGGCCATGTTTACTACCCTGAAATGTTGTATTTTTTGTCTTTAATTTCCAAGACTTAAAGCAGTCTTGTTAAATTGACATAAATGGTAAACTTCAACATTTTCATAATACAGTATTAATGTTTGATAAAGGTATATCCCAGTTAACTACACTGCTCTTTAATTGCAATCATGGGCATTTTAATGTATTTTAAAATAAATTTCAAAATTCTGCTAAATTCTTAATTTAGCATATTGACAAAGTAATCTGGATTTATACCTTTTAAAAACCATTTTGACCAGTTTTCTTCGGTTTTAATGCTTTCTTAAATAAAACACTGCATGATTTCCAAGTTGCATATTTGCATACTATTTTAATTTGCAAAATGTTTTTTAAATCAAATATCCTGATATTTAGTTGTTTTTTTTTTCCTCCAGCGTGTTTAATTAAATATGTTACTGTATTAGCAAAACATTTTCATTTTTAAAATCTGCTAATTTTAAACTTGGACTGTGTTAAGTAAAAGTTAAATCATACACTGCAAGGTGTAGGAAGATTTGTTTTAATGAATCCAATGATACAGATTTGATTACTAAGTTTGAACTGTTAATTGTTTAACAATTTTAGACTTGTGGCTTTCTTTCTTTGGTTTATTTGTTTTTGCTTTTACTCCTATGCTACACTAGTTTGCCATGTAGCAATTGCACTGTGCAATATTACAATAAGGACTGGGAAAATTTTATGGATGTAATGTCTATTACGGTTTGCGATAGTATTTCTCTCTAGTTCTCAGTGATTTAAATGTGACCAAGCCTTCTGTACTTTGTCACAAAAAGCGGGTTTTCCAGGTGACTATTTTGGTGAGTGTCAAAATAAGAATTTATGGTGTATTACTGTCGATTCACTTTGAATTAAAATATATATATTGCAGCAAACAGCTTGTTGACTTTTTTTCCACCCCAATACTCCTTACAGGGTAGGGAAGGGAGAGGTTAACAATATTGAGTATCTATTAATAACTTACATCATCTTATTTAACTCTCAAAGCCACCTTGTGAGATAGGTATTATTATCTTTGTTACACAAATGAGGGCATAGCTGCAGAATGTTTAGGGAACTTGCACAAAGTCACATTGTCAATGAGTTGGAATCTGAGATACACACCAGGATATCAAACCATAACTAATCTACTTTCTATCAGTTCTTTTAAAACCGAAGTCTGAGGCAGTGTACCCGGACTACCTGCAACCATAAGATGACCCTGTCCCATTTTCCTTCAATATTAAGTTTCCGCAAATATTTTTTGAGAGAAATAATTTCTGTTCAATATGTGTGGATGAATAGGGAATTCACATGTATCTTTAATACTTAAAACATATGACTTCGAAAGAATGTGATTGTAGTAGGCCAGCTTACATCCTAAAATACCAACACCTCATAATTCAAGGATCTAACTTTCAAGGAACCTCAGTTGGAAAGTTTCTAGGGGAGCACTCCCCCAGAACACAATAGTGAGAATACGTATTTTCAATTTCTGCCTTCCCCTATCAATGTTTAATTGAAGTATAACATATATGCATTCTTTGGCATCTGGCTATTTTTTGTTAAACATTTATAAGATACATCCATGTTGTGTGTAGTTCATTTATACTCATTGCTGTATAGTAATCCTTTGTGTGTATACAGAACTATTTTGTTGATGGACATTTGACATCTGAATAGTTTCTACCTCCTGGCTATTATGAATAGGGCTGCCATGAATGTTTTGTCCATATCTCTTGGTGAACATATGCATGCATTTCCTTTGGGTATATATGTAGACGTGCATTACTAGGACATAGGGTGTATACAGATACTGCCAAACACTATTCCAAAGTAGTTAATGTACACTTATTAGCAATGTATGAGAGTTCTAGTTGCTTTATGTCCTCACTAACACATTATTTTTTGTTTCTTTTGTTTTAGTCATTCTTTTGAGGGTGAGTTTTTCAAAATAACATGAACATTTTCATTTAGGTCAAAGCACTGATCGTACATAGAGATGAAATTCAGATTTTGCAATTTACTTGAAAGTAAATTAGCCTCTTGAAAAAAATACTAAGAAGCATTCAGCTATTTAAATAGATCTAGGAATATAAATTTTTTTTCTCTGAAACAGGGTAATAGGATGAAAAAAGGGCTTTGAGCAACACATTTAAACCATTCAGCCAGTAACTACCCAGCACAGTGCCTGGCATATAGTGGGTACATCATGAGTCATTTAAAAAACCTTGAAGCATCTACTATGTTTCAAGCACTATACACGGGGCATGTACCAATGGACAAAACAGAGGTCCTTTTGCTCTTATGGATTTAACCTTTTTCCAGGGGAGAAGACTAAAGTAAGATTCAGGTAGGGTAAGTAAAGAAGACGGTACGGGGATAGGGTGACTGGAGAGGTCATGTCAGGGAATGCCTCAGTGAGGTGACACTTGAGCTGTGACAAGGAGAATGCTGGTCAGGCATGCAAAGAAAGAATATCTGGCAGACGGAGCAGCAAGTTAAGCTTTTAATATGAGCAAAATAGGAAGTGGCCATTATGGCCAGAGCATAGTGTTTGAGTGGGTGGCAAGAGATAGAAAATGCAACTGTAAGAGTGGGCATGCAGGCTTTTTGCCAAAGATTGGAGTGTAGATTTAATTCCATATATTGTAGGAGGCCATGGGATGATTTTAAGCAGGCAAACAGTATGACCTAACTTAAAGATCAGTCTGGCTGTTGAATGAAGAATAGATTGCAGGGCCAGGGTGGGAGTCGGAAGACCAGGTAGGAGGTTGCTGAAGTAGTCTAGGTGAGAGGGATGAATAACAATATTTTGTTAAGAGGTTTGTATTAGCAATATAGTCTCCCAGTCTGTGACTTACCCTTTTAGTTTCTTAACAGGGCGTTAGGAAGAGCGAAAGTTTTGGATTTTGTTCAAGTCCATCTTATCAATGTTTTCTTTCATGGTTTGTGCTTTTTGTGTCCTAAGACATTTTTGCCTATCACTAAGTTTCAAATACTTTCTCCTTTGTTTTCTTCTAGGAGTTTTATAGTTTTAGCTTTTATTAAGTCAGTTGTCCGTTTCATGTTAATTTTTGTGTCAAATTTTTACTTAATGGTAATTGAGAAACTACACTTAACACCTAATTAGAAGTGTGGTTATTTGAAGTAGAAAAGTCAGATGTTAATGTTTCATATTACCCCATTGTAAATATAATACATGGTTACAATATGCTTGGCTAATTCAGAAAAATAGATTTTTTAAAACATAAAAATGTATGTTTTCAGATAGTTAATGTACATGTAAGCAACTTCAGATACAGATATTTGCTACTTCAATCTATAGCATTGAATTTATAGGCATTTTGCATGTTTTACAAACTGCACAAACATTTGAATGCCAAAATGCAAAATTCAAAAGTGATCAGATTTATTCTAATAGTTGCTTGTTTCTTCAGTGACTGGAGAATCCAAAGAACTCAACTTTTTTTCTCATGTAGAATTTCTATACTTCTATTTTTTTATTAAAAAATACAAACAAGAAAAAGAGAGTAGTACAGTGAATACACACATAACCTTCACCTAGATTCATCAGCTGACATTGGCCTCATTAGCTTTGTATGTTTATGTGTAGTTTTTATTTTATTTAATTAATTAATTATTTTGAGATGGAGTCTTGCTCTGTCGCCCAGGGTGGAATGCAGTGGCACCATTTCGGCTCACTGCAACCTCCACCTCCCAGGTTCAAGCAATTCTCCTGCCTCGGCCTCCCAAGTAGCTGGGACTACAGGTGCGTGCCACCACACCAGGTAATTTTTTTGTTTTTAGTAGAGATGGGGTTTCACCATGTTGGCCAGGCTGGTCTTGAACTCTTGACCTCAAATGATCCACCTGCCTCAGCCTCCCAAAGTGCTGGGATTACAGGCATGAGCCACCGCGCCCAGCTTGTTTATGTGTAGTTTTTAAATTGAGCCATTTCTGGTTAATCATACTTTGCTCCAAAATACTTAAGCATGCATCTGTAAGAATAATGACGTTTTCAACTAACCATGAGACCTTATAACATCTAGCAAAGTTAACAATTCTCTAACATTTATCTAGTTTTCAGTCCATAGTCAAATTAGACATAGTCAAATAGACATAGTCAAGAATGTCTTGAAACAAGTAGCTATTTTCCCCCTACTCCACCAGCCAATTAAGATTTACCCATTGCCCTTGGCTATGGCATGTCTCTGACTACTTTTAATTCAGAACAGTCCCCCATCCATCCCCCATCTTTTTTTTTTTTTTTTTTTTTGAGATGGAGTCTCACTCTGACACCCAGGCTGGAGTGCAGTGGTGTGATCTCAGCTCACTGCAACCTCCGCCTTCTGGGTTCAAGCAATTCTCCTGCCTCAGCCTCCAGAGTTGCTTGGATTACAGGCCCCCATCACCATGCCCAGCTAATTTTTTTATTTTTAGTAGAGATGGGGTTTCACCATGTTGGCCAGGCTGGTCTTGAACTCCTGACCTCAAATGATCCACCCACCTCGGCTTCCCAAAGTGCTGGGATTACAGGCATGAGCCACAAGTTCAGGCTAGAATATTGTACATTCTGGATTTGTCTGATTGTTCATTTGTCCTAATTGGCTCATCTCTATTTTCTGTAAAGTAGAGGCTGGTTCTAATGCCTTAATTCGGTGTTCATGTGCAAAGGTAATTATAGGAGTTGCGTCATTGTGTCACGTCAGGTTGTTCACTATCAGGGATGACAGTTAAAGAGTGATGACTGGCAAATCTCTCCACTGTCATTGGTGGGGTGATACTTTGAAAGTATCAATAACATTTTACTCGGTGTTTTTAGCATCCATTAATGATTGCTGTCTGAATCTATTACACTGGGGATTGCAAAAATAGTGATTTTCAACTCTATGATTCCTTCTCTTAAATACATTCATGACCTGGCATCTTTCTGTAAAAACAGGCTTTCTCCCTGTACACAAGCTCTCTCGCTCTCTGTTTTTCTGTCATCACTATGGGTTCATGGATTTTGCTTTATTCAGTAGGTTAAAGTGACCAATTATCTTCAAGACCCCTGAATCTTTTTGACATCACCACATTTGTCTGAATGTTCCCTTGCTTTCTGGCCCAAAAGAATGTCTTGGGCTCACCTTGTACCTTTTCTGCCTCAGATCTGAAATCAGCCATTTCAACAAAAAGCCCAGGTTTCAAAGAACTCAGAGTAATTTTTACAGGTCAGGCACAAAACTAATCCCTTTGTCTTGTACTACTTCCCAGTCATGGATGTCATGGGTGTTTAATCGTGGTGTCATGATTCGTTTTTGCTCTTCTCTTAGTTTAGCTTTAATCCCATGTCTCCATTACTTAAGGGTATGTCTGATTCCTATTTTTGCAGAGATGTGGCTTGCCCAGCAACTACTGCACACTCCATGGATCTTACTGATCTTGAGTCCCTCTTAGCCTAGCACACTGATTGCAGATGGTAATTCCGAAGGCAGGATGAACAGGGAGATGAATGAGTGACTATTTTAGAGGGCATGCTTGGGAGAAGTAATGTAGTAAATGCAGCATTTACTACTCTTTCTCTAGTATTTAGCACTTGTGCCCAGTGAATGTTGAATCAATGTGGGCCCTAGGGTTTGAGGACATTATTTAGAAAATCTTGGTAATATTTGTATTCTCAATGATGATGATGAACTTGAACCAGGTGCTGAGGTGAGAGCAGGAACTGTGCTGCAGCATCGCCACAGTTCCCTTATCCCTTGTTTCATCACTTTCATTATATTTCTTGCCTTGCCCACCTGCTCTTTGCACTAACTGTAAGCTCTAAAGACAAAGGCCATTTTAATCCTGCAGACTCTGTTTCTTTGACATTTGCTATGTACCTGGCCACAGTCAGCACTAAAACATTTGTTAAATAGATGAATGAAATCAATAAACATCTGTTGAATGCAATTTAGGAGGCCCATATTTCATTATCTGCTTTGCTGCTACTATAGGTAGTATGATTTTGAGCAAGTTTGGGCTTCAGTGTACTCATTGGCAAATTGAGAGAGCCTGGGGTTGCAAACTTAAAAGCAGCAAGGGCTGGGCAGATGCCATAAGTAGATGAAGCAGACTGAGTGGGGACTGGCCGAGTGGAGAGTCAAAGCCCCACCCAAAGTAATCAGGAAACACAAGTAGGATGGCAGACCAAATGTGCACCAATGTCTACTTTTTGGAGAAAACACAGAAATATGCATGTCAGATATTGGCAACTAATTCAAAAGTTTTTTAAAAAAATTATTTTAGACATGGTGTATACCAAACACAAGTTGTCTTCAGGCCAGAGCTGGTCTGTGGGTAGGCAGTTTGCAAGATTAGTTATTTTGAGTTTATTTTCAGTTTGACGTTTAGTAATGCCGTTCAATATAGTATTGCTATGTTGTATTATGGCCAGCAGGGGGGGAAGTTTCCTAATAAATTTTTTTTTAAGTTTGGTCTCATAATAACTTTAAAGAAAATAGCAAAGCAGAAATATGAGCAGTGTAGGCTATGTCGGAGTGTCTAATTTTGTAATTTTTATTGTTAGAGACGATGTTTCTGTCTCTCTGTCACTTAGGTTGGAGGGCAGTGGCATAATCATAGCTCACTGTAGCCTCAAACTCATGGGCTCAAGTGATCCTCCCACTTCGGCCTCCCAAATTGCTGGGATTACAGGCATAAGCCACCACACTTGGCTCAGTTTTTCTTTTTCTTTCTTTCTTTCTTTTTCTTTCTTTCTTTCTCTCTCTCTCTCTCTTTCCTTCCTTCCTTTCTTTCTTTCTTTCTTTCTTTCTTTCTTTCTTTCTTTCTTTTTCTTTCTTTCTTTCTTTCTTTCTTTCTTTCTTTCTTTCTTTCTTTCTTTCTTTCGTCTTCCTTCCTTCCTTCCTTTCCTTTTTTTCTTTTTTCTTTTTTCTTTGAGACGGAATCTCGCTCTGTCGCCCAGGCTGGAGTGCAGTGGTGTGATCTCGGCTCACTGCAACCTCCGCCTCCTGGGTTCATGCCATTCTCCTGCCTCAGCCTCCCGAGTAGCTGGGACTACAGGCGCCCGCCACCACGCCCGGCTAATTTTTTTGTATTTTTAGTAGAGACGGGGTTTCACCGTGTTAGCCAGGGTGGTCTCGATCTCCTGACCTCTTGATCCGCCCGTCTCAGCCTCCCAAAGTGCTGGGATTACAGGCGTGAGCCACAGTGCCCGGCCGGCTCTGTTTCTAATTTTTATATATTTTGAAAAAGTGAGAAAGGATTTCAACCGTCCATGAATTCTTAAATTACTACTTAGACTGACTGGTTTATCAAGGAATCAAAGGAAGACATCCATTCATCCATTCGTTTCTCTGCTGTCAGGTAGACCTGCGATGTAGTACGAAAACGTGTAGATCATTTTATCTCCAGCAAAGGAAATAAAACTTAGAGGATTTGGCAGCTGGAAGTGGAAGGAAAAGATAAGAGGAAAAGAGTAACAGACATTCAACACCTACATTGTACCAGAGCCTTTTATGTGGCTTATTCTCACAACAACCCCTTCTTGTGACAAATCCTTCTTTATTTTTTTTATTTTGCAGAAAAAGAAAAGGCTTAGAGAAGCTCAGTAGTTTACTTAAGATAACACAGAAAGAGGCCGGGCGATGTGTCTCATGCCTGTAATCCTAGCACTGCAATTTGGGAAGCCGAGGCAGGTGGATCACCTGAGGTCAGGAGTTCGAGACCAGCTTGACCAACATGGTGAAACTTCGTCCCTACTAAAAAACACAAAAAATCAGCTGGGCATAGTGGCACGTGCCTGTAATCCCAGCTACTTGGGAGGCTGAGGCAGGAGAATCACTTGAACCTGGGAGGTGGAGGTTGCAGTAAGCCGAGATCGTGCCACTGCACTCCAGCCTGAGCGACAGAGTGAGACTCCAAACAAAACAAAACAAAGCAAATCAAAACAAAACAAAGATAACACAGAAAGAAGCAATGGTGAAATTCCAGTCCCTGTTTGACTCTACAGCTGTGAAAGTCCCACCTAATTACATTCTCTAAAATGCAGTGCTGGCAAATGTTCACCAACTAGCTGGGTGGGTAAGGGGGTATTCATATGTATTTATATAAATTTGTTATAAATTACATGAATATAAAGAATGGTAGCACATAATTTATAAATGATAATAAAGTATACAACAGTCTTTATTATAAATTCCATATGGCCAACTGGTTCTCATAGAATGCTTTTGTTGAGTTTTACCAGACATATAAGTATACTTATAAGTATAGACTTAAGTAAAACCTTAAGTTGGCTGTAGACATACTAAGAGTATATAGATAGACATATAGTATAGTATAGTATAGTATAGTATAGTATAGTATAGTACAGTATATCTATTTATATACTTACAGCCAGCCTAAGGTTATAATTCTTCCAACTTAAGGTTATAATTCTACCATGATTTGACAAAATCAGGCTATGAATAAATGCTTGATTACTACCTGATTTAGCCAAGAAGTTGCTCATGGTATTGATCAACAAGTATACTTTTGATGTCAGTGTTTGTTATTGTTTTCTTTTACATTTAAGACCAAAAGGAAACAACAAAGACGTATGTTAGAACTTCACTTGTTCAACAATGACATGAGTGAATTCTTTGCTCTATCTGACGATAATTTTCAAATACTGGAAGAATACGCTTTCCCTTTTTTCCCCATATTTTGTTTGTTATTAACAATGTACAACCATAGGTAAGATAAACATTTAAATATAGTCCACATTAACATTTTCTCCATAACTTTCTCAAGTCTAGATGATCAACAAAACAATAAGTCAAGCCCTGATTTGTAGTGTTTGCCAATTTTCATGGTGTAAATGCTCCCACCAAGAACAATTTCAAGCTATCTGCACAATGTCGCTGAACACAGAGCTGGAAAGAGATTTGCACCATTTAACATAGATAAGATAGACATAAATAACTTCAAGAGCACAGATAATAGTAAAATTATTCAAAGGTGATATGTTTTGAGTATAACTCATCCTTACTTTGGACAGCAGTGTGTGGCCATAAAAATGACTATAGAAGCTCAGACTATGTGATCTTTATCAATGGGAAAAATTACAATTGTTCCATGACCTTTAACATTATTTTTTTGTTAAAGCATTGCTAAGTCTCTTACTGTTGGTTGTAAATGTATAGGGAAATGAAAAAATAGAAAAGCTAATATTTATATAGCATACCAATTAAAAACATGAGAAGCATTGAGAGTTAAGCGTTTTATTTCTTTGCAAAAAAATGTATCAGTAGTTTAAATGGTGTTTGCATTCTTCTTATCATATAACTTAGGATTCACCTTTTTTATACCTTGGCAAATTGTCATACTCCTTTGCAAGTTTGGATCAGCTTCCAACATTTTATCCTCTGTGCTCTGAATGTCGTGAAATATCTCTGAGAATTTCTCTAATGTGAATCTTTTTCAGCATCACTTCCTCTCTGGGCTATCTTCATTCTTTTTGTCAGAGCCACTTTGCTCATTTATGTTGATAAGTTTGCTTTCCCTGAGTTCCTCTGGCTGCACCTGTACAGACTCTAGAACAGCAGTGTGTCAACATTCCTACAATGAGCTATTTCCTCTACAATTCCACTTACATTTATGTCAAATTTTACTTCCAGCATTGTCACTTTTTATTTCTTTGCTGCACCCTCATCTTTGTTGGTCAACTGCCTCTTTTGATTCTATCCATTTTTGTCAAATGTCATGTGGGTTCGTCACTGGAGGACAAGAAGGTAAAACAACCACACAATTTGCTGTCTGCAAGAACTGAATGACGGATGAGCAGTGCTCCATCACTGACAGTCTTTGAAAGAAGAGATGCGATTGGTCACTGATCATGAAGCACATCTATTGCCTACAAAGTGATTTGTGGACCAAAGAGCTAGCAATGAAGTTTGTACTTTATGCAATCACTCACAGCTAATATACTGTGGTGACTAAAATTTGAACTGCGTTGTTGGCAGACTGGTATTATTTAACTAAATGGTGATAACCAAAATTCGTGTATCCTGGATCCATGTAAAGTGAGGATTGCCCTGTATTTACCTTTGCTTTTAACATAATTTAATTGTAACTTTATGTAATTGAATTTTTAATGATGACTGTGTTTAACAACGGCTTCATAAAATTCCTGTAAATTTAACAATTGGCTCTCACAAGCTGGCACAAGCGAGATTTAGCACAGCACTGCAGAACCTCATGAAGCATCTGGTATTTCCCATTTATGTTAAGCAAGGGGGCTGTGGCTTGTTTAAGTTCCCAGGAAGAATGGCATAGCCAGAGCTATCATTTCAAGGCTCATATTCTTTAAACTCCCCTGATAACTGCATTCAAATAATCTAAAGGGTTACAATAAGCCTATAACCTTATTCTATATCTTCTTGGTATCCATCAAGACGATATATTTGAAAATTTAATAACTTTTAAAAAGTGAAACATTTGTTTGAGCTCTTCTCTTTCCTTCCCAGCCTTATTTCTTTCATTAATAGCTGACAGAATCTGATTGTCAGCTTTCAATAGGTTATACTGCAGTAACAATGATCCCCAAAATCTTAGTACCCCAAACCAGCACAGGCTTATCTTTTTCCCTTGTTACATGTTGCTCCCAGATTGGTGGCAGCTCTGCTTCTGTCTGCAGGTCACATATGCTCCATGGGCCTTCTTTATTTTAGGATTCTGACTGAAAGAGTAAAAAATATTGGACATGCTTTCTTATTGGAAGAGGGAAAAGATGCAGAGTTGAATCTTGAAATGGTTCTTAAAGCTTATGAATGAAACTGGCACATTGTCATCTCTGTCACATGCCATTAGCCAAAAGAATTTGCATGCCCTAGTCTAATATAAGTGGGGAGGAAAGAATCATCAGGGAAGAAGGGCACTGCAAATCCCCCGTGGTAACAGGTGAGGAAGTACAGCCATCCCTCGGGATGTGTGGGGGATTGGTTGTAGGACTCCTCTTGTACACCAAAATCCACAGATGCTCAAGTCTCTGATAGAAAATGGCATAGTATTTGCATATAACTACACATTTACATCATCTCATATACTTTGGGCCTGGCACAGTGACTCATGCCTGTAATCCCAGTACTTTGGGAGGCCAAGGCCAGTGAATTGCTTGACACCAGGAGTTTGAGACCAGGCTGGGTGACATAGTGAGACCCCTGTCTCTACAAAAATAAAAAGAATGAAAAGTAGCTGGTGTGGGGGCACACCCTGTAGTCCTGGCTTCTCTGGAGGCTGAGGCAGGAGGATGACTTGAGCCAAGGAGTTCAAGGCTCCAGTGAGCTATAATTGTGCCACTGCACTCCAGCCTGGGTGACAGAGCCAGATTTTGTCTGTAATACATACATACATACATACATACATACATACATACATACATACATGCATATATACGTACACTACCTTCATCCATTCATCCATCCACCTTCCCATATACTTACATGCTTTTTTATTTTTGAGACAGGGTCTTGCTCTGTTGCCCAGGCTAGAGTGCAGTGGCTTGATCATGGCTCACTGCAGCCACAACCTCCCAGGCTCAAGTGATCCACTCACCTCAGCCTCCCAAGTAGCTGGGAATACAGGTACGCACCACATGCCCAGCTAATTTAAAAAGTGTGGTTTATTTGTTTTGTTATTATTATTATTATTATTATTATTGCAGAAATGAGGTCTGTTGCCCAAGCTGATCTGGAACTCCTGGTCTCAAGCGATCCTTCTGCTTTGGCCTCCCAAAATGCTGGGATTACAGGCATGAGTCATTGTGCCTGGCCACATATACTTTAAATAACCTCCAGATTACTTATAATACTAATACAATGTAAGCACTATGCAAAAAGTTGTTATACCATATTGTTTTTTATTTCCACGTTTTTATTGCTGTATTGCTATTTTTTTATAGTTTTTCTCTGAGTATTTTCCACCTGAGGTTGGTTGAATCTGTGGATGCAGAACCACGGATACAGAGGCCGTGCCTAGTCATCTCCAGGGAAGTGAAGAGTAGAAATGAAGCTGTTTTTTGTTTTTTCATTTTTCGTTTCTTGTAAAAACACAGGAATAGCTTTTCAACAACTACCAAAGCTTAGGGATTTGATTTTTTAAAAATTCACTCACTGACGTTAGGTATAAGCCCTATACCGAATGGCCCAATATCTTGTTACTCAAAGAGTTGTCTCCGATCAGCCTCGGCATCACTTGACAGTTTGTTAGAAATGCAGACTCTGGGGCTGGGTGCCATGGCTCACGCTTGTAATCCCAGCACTTTCAGAGGCTGAGGCGGGTGGATCACCTGAGGTCAGGAGTTTGAGACCAGCCTGACCAACATGGTGAAAACCCTTCTCTACTAAAAAATACAAAAATTAGTCAGGCATGGTTGTGAATGCCTGTAATCCCAGCTACTTAGGAGGCTGAGGCAAGAGAATCGCTTGAACCTGGGAGGCGGAGGTTGCAGGGAGCTGAGATCACGCCACTGTACTCCAGCCTGGGCAACAGAGCAAGACTCCCTCTTAAATAAATAAATAAATAAATAAATAAATAAATGCAGACTCCTGGGTGACCCCAGACGTTCTTTTTAGCCTCTCTCTCTCTCTTTTTTTTTTTTTTGTATATTTTTGTGTTTTTTTGTATTTTTTACTACTTATTTTTGTTTTTCTTTTTGTATTTCAATTTTTTTTACTACTTTTTTTTCACTTCAAAATTTTTTAAAAATAGATTTCTTTATTTTCTGGAATTTTTCTAGCCATGGTAACCCCAGGCCTTTTTAATCAGAATCTTCATTTTAGCAACATCCCCATGTAACTTATGTGTACATTCGAGTTTGTGAAACTTGGGCCTAATGGACAGCTTTACCTGGATGCTCCTTTTAGCACTTGTTTTTTTCCCCCAAGCCTAATTTTCCTGTATCTATATTTCCTGTATTCCCAGATACCTATCTTCCTTCCTACTTTCCTTCCTTCTCCCCTACCTCCCCTCCCTTTCCTTCCCCTCCCCTTCTCCCTTCCCTTCTCCCTTCCCTTCCCTTCCCTTCTCTTCCCTTTCCCTCCTCCTCTTCCTCTTTCTCCTGGTATCATTGGTTACTCCCTGTCAAATCCTTCAACACTGTTCCTGTCTCCTTACCATCCTCATTGTGCTGCCTCAGTTCAGACCTGGAACTTATCCAAACTAATACTTTTATCTGACTTCCTGGCTTTGAGTCCACCCCCACTCCTCCAACCTTCCTCATTACTTTCCAGGTGGTCTTTTTAAAATTCAATTTTGACCAAGACAGTAGCAGTGGAGGTGCCAAGGAGATGCTTGGAGCAATAGAAGGGGCAAGTAAACATAACCTAAGTGAAAGCAGAGCTCTTCTTATCAAATTCAGCTTCAAGACGAGTCCTGGACCAGTTTCCTCAAAGCTTCTCATGAAAATTCTGAAGTTGCCTTTGGATGCCAGCCTGCTTTCAAATTTTCACTGTCACTGTCAAGATGATGTCCAATCTCTTGGAGGACTTTTCGGAGGACTTTTCTTTTCTTTACTTTTTTAGAGACAGGGTCTTGCTGTATTGCCCAGGCTGGGCTTGAACTCCTGGCTTCAACTAATCCCACCTGGGCCTCCCAGTGCTGGAATTCCAGGCTCGAGCCACTGTGCCTGGCTTTAGGAGGACATTAAATTCTCTATGACCACAATCTAATTTTAAAACATTTCTATTACCCTAAAAAGAAACTTTGTGCCCATTACAGTCACTTTTTGTTTTTACTCACCAGCCCCAGGTAAGCACTAATCTACTTTCTCTTTGGTTTGCCTTTTCTGGACAC
This sequence comes from Homo sapiens, assembly GCF_000001405.40. Lineage (NCBI taxonomy): Eukaryota > Metazoa > Chordata > Mammalia > Primates > Hominidae > Homo > Homo sapiens. The sequence goes on from NC_000011.10 coordinate 33,369,946, forward strand.
TTCATACAAACGGAGTCATAGAATATTGTGACCTTTTGTGACTGGCTTCTTTCATTTCGCATAGTATTTTCAATTCATCAGTGTTGTAGCATGTATCAGTACTTTCTTCCTTTTTATCGATGAACAGTATTTGGTTGTCCCACATTCTATTTATCTTTTCACCAGTTCATGAGTTCTTCCCACTTTTTGGCTATTGTGAATAATGCTGCTCCATATATTTGTGTAAAAGCATTGTGTGAACATACGCTTTTATTTGTTTTGAGTAGATACATGTATCTTGATATCTTGGGTAGATATCTCTAGTTTCTGAAAGGGATAGTGTGGTAGCGTTTTAAAGTTTTCTCAAGGTTACTAGTTATTAGGTGATGGAGTTAGGACTTCAACTCAGGTTGTAAATCATTGAGATTTTCAATGACCAATCCTGGTTTCCACCCCACAGAGCCCAAGAAATAGTCTCAACACAGTGAGACAAGAAATTGAGGGCAAAGAGAGACAGTAAAAATGAGCTAGCCCCATACTGTCAAATGCTAGACCAGATCTCTGCTCTGCTATTGGATGAATCCCAAAAGCAACAGAAGTATTAGTGAGAGACAGATTGACCTTTGATCGTTAAAAAACAAACAAAAGACCCTGCCTCCTCCCACTGGAGGATTTATTTATTTATTTATTTGAGACGGAATCTCACTCTGCTGCCCAGGCTGGAGTGCAGTGGCATGATCTCGGCTCACTGCAACCTCTGCCTCCCGGGTTCAAGTGATTCTCCTGCTTCAGCCTCCTGAGTAGCTAGGATTGCAGGTGTGCACCACCATGCCTGGCTAATTTTTCTATTTTTATTAGAGATGGGGTTTCACCATGTTGGCCAGGGTGGTCTCAAACTCCTGACCTCAAATGATCCACCCGCCCAGGCCTCCCAAAGTGCTGGGATTACAGGCGTGAGCCACTGAGCCTGGCCCCCCTGGAGGATTTAGAGGATAATTAGCCAGAACCTGGAGGAGCTGAAATGTCATCAATGGATGTCAAGTTGAAGTCAACAAACACTGAGTAGCTAGGCTGCTGTGGGGGACACCCTGAGGACTGAGATCAGTCTCACTCACCCTGGAGTCTAGGGGCTGGTCCTAGTGGGTGCTGTTACCGTCTTGCTGGGCCCGATGTGCTGGGCCTTGGGGTGGGCCTGGGAAACTGTTTTTAGAAAAACAGGTTGAGATATAAGGGGGAGGGGAAAGCTAGTTGACCTGCGTTTCTGCAACAGCCTTCTTACAGTCGGCCTCCTCCTTATCTCACCCCTGTTGTACCCGTTCTACAAGGTGGCCAGAGTGATTTTCCTGGAACACACATTCACCACTCCTCTGCTTTAAAATTTGTCCCTAAGCTCCCTACTGCCCTCTGTCATTGTTAATTCAGCTGCATCTCTTTGCCCTTGCGGGCAGTTGCTGTCTGCGGGGAACCCATATGATAAGCATTTGTCTCAGGGCCAGGACAGTGCCAGGCAGGAAGGGCCCAGTAAACGACCCATCGTTGTTATATCCAGTGTTTTCTCAAGGGCACGGAAGCAAAGAAAACCATATTTAAATTTTTGTTTTGAATTTCTTCTGTCTCAATGTCTGCAATATACACCATGGCACCAGTCCCTTGCTTGCCTCCCTAACCTCCTCTCTCAGCAGTTTCCTCTGCAGAAGCCCACAGCATCCTTTCCCGCCCCCCTGACAGCATATACTGAACTGTGGCATAATTGAGTGTTTACTCATCTCCCTCACTTACTCTTTTTTTTTTTTTGAGATGGTGTCTCACTCTGTCGCCCAGGCTGGAGTACAGTGGTGCTATCTTGGCTGACTGCAAACTCTGCCTCCCAGGTTCAAGCGATTCTCCTGCCTCAGCCTCCTTAGTTGCTGGGATACAGGCGCCCACCATCATGCCTGGCTAATTTTTGTATTTTTAGTAGAGATGGGGTTTCACCATGTTGGCCAGGCTGGTCTCGAACTCCTGACCTCATGTGATCCACCCGACTCAGCCTCCCAAAATGCTGGGATTACAGGCGTGAGCTACCGCGCCCAGCCTCCCCCACTTATTCCTAAGTATGGAGTTCAGTGAGGGTGGGGACAAGGCCTTGCTTGCTGTGGGAATCCTAGAGTCTAGAACGGTCCTGGGTGCACAAAAGGAGTTCAGTGTAGACTTGGGCTTTGCTCCAGCAAGGAGTGTCAGCAACAGAGTTCTTGACTAGAGGAGAAATAGCTGCCTATTTTAAAAAGAATGAAAGCAGAGGCCTAGAGATTTCCCCTCTATGAATGGCAGAAATTTCTGTTGTGGGCCTGAAACAATTGCCCAAAGATTGTTCTTTCTTCCCAGCCTAACAAAATGCTTTGCACAAAACACACTGACTTTTGAAAGCTATGTAGCAATAAATTTACACACTGAGAAAGCCCCAAAGCCCTAGAAATAGACTAAAATTAATGAAAGAGTTTATGGTTTAAGAGGGTTGCAATTGTCATATAATAAGATTGGTTGAGTGTTTACTGTGTGTCAAGTATTCTTCTAAATGCTTGACATGTATCAATTCAATTCTCAAGACAATTCAATGAGGGAGTCACTCTTATCATTTCCAGTTTTATAGGTGAGAGATATAGAGTAATCTCTATATGATGTGCCCAAAGTTAAACAGCTAGTAAACGGTAAGGCCTGAATTTAAATCTGAGTAAAGTTTCAGAGTCTATACAGTCACCCACCAATCAATGACTCATCAGTCAAAGATCTCACCAAGCTTCCTGCTCCAGCAGAGAACCCTTCCGGAGTGGTTCCTCCTGGATAAGAATAAGGTACAAACTCCATGCCATGGCATCGCAGGCTCTCAACATCTGCCCGTAACTTGGCTCCCCTGCCTGGAGGCTGAATCTCCCTAAGTTCCCTCTGTGCTTCTCTCACCAGATACCTTATCTTTCCCTGCAAAATGCTGCAGACTTTCATGGCTTTCTATTGTGTCATTGGCTGTGCCTGGCAAACTCCGACTTTAAATGTTTCCTTCTTTTGCCTTTTCTCCTCCAGGCAGAAATAGCCACCCCTTGCTCACATTCCCATGGCGATGAGTGATCTGCACGTACCTCTATCGCATCCTCAGCACATTGCTCTGAAGTTATTGCTGCATGTATCTGTCCCCCTCATTAGACTGTAGGCTTCTTCTTCTTTTTTTTCTTTTCTTTTTTTTTTTTTTTTTTGAGACGGAGTCTTGCTCTGTAGCCCAGGCTAGAGTGCAGTGGTGTGAGCTCGGCTCACTGCAACCTCCGCCTTCTGGGTCCTGGTTCAAGCAATTCTCCTGCCTTAGGCTCCCGAGTGGCTGGGATCACAGGCATGCACCACCATGCCCAGCTAATTTTTGTATTTTCAGTAGAGACGGCGTTTCACTATGTTGGTCGGGCTGGTCTTGAACTCCTGACCTCGTGATCCACCCACCTCGGCCTCCCAAAGTGTTGGGATTACAGGCGTGAGCCACTGCACCTGGCTGACTGTAGGCTTCTTGAGGAAAGGGATGGTATCTCGTCTTGAGGTCAGTCTCATCAGGGAGACGAATTCATTGAAACACCAGTGCAACAACCAACACGTGAAAAGTAATTTATAATTTGTGTAAGTCTGGCAAATAATGGAGAAGGGAAAATCCCATTTACAATACAGAATTTACTTTCTCGAGATATGCATTTGCTATCTCCCAACCCCATGGCAGTTGCCCCTAAATCAATCTCTCTCAACTCGCATGGAGAAGCCAGCTGTGTTCAGGTCTTGCCTTTCTTGCTTTGCACACAGCGTCTCTCCTGCTGGATCTTTTATATCTCTTTAGGCCAGCAACATTCAGTCGCTTCCCGGGTGAATGCAGCCAGCCTGTCCAGCTTCCTCAGTTCCTGACTCACCATCAACACCACAATTGTCCAGGTGCAGAAAAGGGGTGGGTGGGGGAAGCTGTGGCTACTAAAGGGTTCGTGTTTTCCCCCATCACATCCACCTGTGTGTTCTCCGGAGCTCTTAACTCAGAGCCTGATACAGGATTGGTGCTCCTGAGAGTGACTTATCTTCCCCTCTCCCTCTCCTTCAGATGTGTCCAAGGCCTTTCACAACTTGGCCTCAGCATAAGAGTTCTGGGTCTCAAACAGGCAGGCCCACTGCTCCAAGACCAATCTTCCTGCCTCCTTCCCTGCCTCTGCTCCGCCCACTTCTCTCTCCAGGGGCTCCCTTTTCTGCAACACCTAAGCGAGTCTATACCCTGCCCTTGTTTCAGTTCTTCTTTGCCTGACATCCTCATTCCCCATCGCCTTGTCCGTGGGATCACCACCGGCTGCAGGGCCGTTCATCTTGTGATGCTGCCTGAACCATGACCATGGGCTGGCTTTCTCACAGTGTCTCCAACTAATTTAGTGAATTGCTTTATCTCTTCAACTAGACTGCATCTTTCCCTTCCTCCCTCCCTCCCTCTCTCTCTCCCTCTCTCTCTTTCTTTTGAAGGAGTCTCCCTCTGTTGCCCAGGCTGGAGTGCAGTGGTGCAATCTTGGCTCACTGCAACCTCTGCCTTCCAGGTTGAAGCAATTCTCCTGCCTCAGCCTCCCAAGTAGCTGGGATTACAGGCATGCACCACCACACCTGGCAAATTTTTGTATTTTTAGTAGAGACAGGGTTTCACCATGTTGGCCAGGCTGGTCTCAAACTCCTGACCTCAGGTGATTCGCCTGCCTTGGCCTCCTAAAGTGCTGGTATTACAGGCGTGAGCCACTGCGCCAGGCCAGACTGCAAGTTTCTTAACACAACCCAAAACAGCCCAACTAGTTTAATTAAAGAACAAAATTAAATCATAACCCCCAACAAGGCATTACTATATTTCAACAAATCTTAGACATATTATAAGAACACATCTGACTTCTGAAAAGTTAACATGTGAAAAGTATGTGTCTTAGATGAAATGTGGTGTTATTTCTATCCTGCAGATGCTCAATAACTAGAACCTAACACTTTTCCAGATCCCCTGGTTAAGTTGCTGTGCCCTAACACACCAGGCACGCTCTGCCCCGGGATGTTAGCCTTTTTGGTTCCCTGTATCTGGAATGCTCTTCGCGCATGGCTTGTTCTCACCTCCTTCAGATCTTGGCTCAAACGTCACCTTCTCAGCGAGGCCTTTCTTCACAATGTTTAACATTTGCAACACCCCCTCCCCACGTTTCATTCTTTTACACTGATTTTTCTTTACGGCATTTACCAGTCTAATATTCTATTACTTATTTGTTTATTGCGGGTGAACCCCCACTAGAATGTCAGCTCCAGGAGGGCAGGGATTTTGTTTATGGCTGTTGTCATTGGCACATCGCAGGCAGTCAGTAAGGATTGTTGAGTGAATAGCGTCTGAGCTTTACCGGGTCAAGGATGTGTGTGTTTCCCCGCTGCTTGTATCCTCAGTGCCTAACACAGATGCTGGCAAACAGCGGGCCCGTAATAGATACTCAGTGACTGGGGATGGATGAGGCGCCTATGAGCCAGGTCACTTGCTAAGGCCATCAAGGCTAGCAAGGGCGAAGAGCAGGGGACCAACTCAGGTGACGCCTGGGCCTTTTGTCCCTCTGAGCAGGAGCTGCCTGACTCTCCTGTTTGGGGGTGTAGACTTTTTTGGAAAAACTTCCCCCAGTCTTCCCAGTGCGCAGTGTAATGCTTTGCACGTAGTGTGGCTGCAACAAATATTTATAATGTGTTTTAATCCAGCGTGTTATTGCAACTAGCCCACAGCCGCTTGAGCTCCTCAGGGGTAAACTGGCATGCAGCTGTCCGTTGAACCCTCGGAGAAGTAGTGAACAAACAGCACAAAGCGCGCCCGCCCTTCTACAAAGAGCTTTTCCAAAATCCAGGCGGAAGAGCTTTCCTGCCGCTTGGGCACGTTGACCATGACCCCCCTCCCCGGCCAGACGACCTCTCTCCCGCCAACCTTCCCTTCTCTAGATGGGGGACAGGAGGGGAGGGAAGCCCTCCCCTTAAGGACCTCCGCTGCGCGGGAGCCGCCGGGAGGGGTCCCCCTCCTGGGTCTCGAGCCCGGCCGGGCGCGCGGGAGCGGGGAGCGCGCGGTGGCTCCGCGCGGGGCTGCGCGCGCGCGCCGGCCTCGCCTCCTCGCCTCCTCGCCCGTTCCGGAGGCTACGTGCTTTCTTTGTCAATGAGGCGCCGCTCTGAGCTGCGGTAGCACTCGCGGCCCGGGAACCCGAGCCGGAGCCGGGGCTGGAACCCGAAGCCCAGCGAGGAGCGAGGAGCGAGGAGCCAGGACAGCGGGGCGCCGAGGCTGCAGCGGCGGCGGGAGGGAGGGACCCGAGCGCGCCCCGCGGCCGCCACCCCCGTTCCCGGCAGCCTCGCCCCCTAGTTCTGCAGGAGCCGGCCCGGGGGAGGGGGCCCCGGGCGGCGCCCGTCCCACCCTCGCCGCCCCAATCGCGCCGGCGCGCGGCGACAGGCACCGTGGGAACCCCGGCCCGCACCCGCCGCGGCTCCATGCGGGCCCGGCCCCTGCGCGGGTGAAGCCGCGGCTCCCTGGAGCCCGCCCCGGGCGCGGCAGGACGAGCGAGCCAGTCGCGCCGCTCGGCGCCCCCTCCCTCCGGCGCCCGGGCCGTGGCCGGCGATGCCCGGTGAGGACCGGGGCGCCGAGGGCTGGGCTCCCCGGCGCGGTGCAGAGCGAGGCAGCGGCCTGGATGTGTGAAGCGTCCCCATGGCTCCGCAGGAGGCCAAGCCTCAGGGCTCAAGGGAAGCTGGGCCCGCGACGCGGGGGCGCGGGGGCCGGCCCGTGGCGCGTGGGCTTGGTCGGGCTGCCTGGGGAGCCGCGCGCTGCACGGGTGTGAGGGGCCCCGGGGCCGGCGCGTCCCACGATGCGCCCCCGCGGCCACCGACGCTGCTGCTGGGACTTCTGCTGCTGGCGGCCCTCCTGGAGCACGGCCAGGCCGACCCGGGTAAGCGCTCGGCGGCGGGGCGTCCGCGGAGGTTTCTGGAGGAGCGGGGCGGCGGGACGGGACCCACACCTGCCCAGGTGGCGGTGGAGAGGTATTGGCAACACCGGCCCTTTACTGCTGCAACAGTAGGCGAACTGTCAGAAATCTGTCTTTCGGGAAGGCACTTTGGGCGGGGAAGAAAAAAAAAGGAGCAATCGCCTCTTCTTTTTGGACAAGTTGTAGAACCTTCCTAGTGGTCCCGCAGGCACGCTTTATTTAGAGAAAGATGTGTGTTTAGGACACCTTAAACGGGAAATGTATCATTAGAACACGTTTCAGGGTGGCAAAGTCCCTGGTATTTTGGGCTCTCTGTTGAGTGTCCACTTTGTCTTAACTGCATGAAATGGCTAGAGAGTTTTAGGCAATCCGCGTGTCGGCTTCCCAAATATCAACACAGTTTCTCCTGTGTTGATAGCGGAACCCTTTTCTTTTGGGAAGGAGGTCTCTCCAATAATTGCTTGCACCTTGCAAAGGGATGCAGGCGCTCATTAAGTATATAATCCACTGTTTGCAGGTTAGTTAAAAATAGTCATGCTTGGCTTGTAGACTTCCAGCAATCCCCAGGAAATAGATTTCTGTAATTCCTTGGACAATTTTGAGAAATCTGTTGTAAGTATTCTAGGTGGGGGTGGATTTTTCTGCTAAGTGTGCTTCAAAACTTAAGCTGTGCAGTAAGCAGTTGTCCTGGAAATAATAATGATTACTGCCTGCACTTGGAAAGGGCAGGCTTTTGTGTTTCTGACGAAATTCTGAGCTCTTGATACACTGCCTTATCAAGGAATATATTTCTCACTTCAGATAATGTGTTCCTGTAGTTTTGCATTTTTTAGCAAGGACTAATGACTTCTTCTTTCTCAGAGTACCCCCTCCCCCAAATTAGATTAAAATTCCTAATTGTAAAGGGGCTGACATTGTTTTAGATAAGAGAGTTTTAGGTTAAAAATATTTCTCGTCTTCAGCAGCTTAATTCAGAGCCCATTTTCCTTCGATTCACTTAAAGAGTCACTGACAGGTGGTGCTTGTGCTTGCGAGTTACTGTCAGATAATGTTCTATTGCGATTATAGTGGTTACAAAGTTCAGGAATCTTTGGATGTGTGCCTCAGACTTGAGAAAAACCTCTGACGAATTTTAGCCCCCGATTTTTATGCCTGTAGCAGTTTTTAGTGATGTGTATTTGGCATAATTGTTAAAAGATAAGGCCTGAGAAAGACCCACGTAAATACCTTGGTATTCATTGGCTCAGAAACATACATCCTGTTTTTGATTAAAGGATATCAAGTCCTTGGTCGTTTTTGTGAACTGCTTATGAGATGTTTGCTTTGGGATGATGTTCATTTGTTCAGCCATCTGTAATATGTGAAACTGGCTTTCATGTGTTGTTCTTGTTCAGCCTGATGTTGGGTGATTTCCTCGGATCAGTTTTGAATTTCTGATTTCCCTTCTGACCTTTGTACCTTGAGCCTTCTGAACCTCCCTGACTTTCCTTGGCTCCTCTTTCAGACCGCCAGAGCCTGATTTAGAGGACTTCTCATCCACATTGTTTGGGTTTAGCCCTGGTGTCCTCTTTCTTTTTCCTTTCAGTGTGGTGGTCATGGGGATACGGGGCTGGGAAAGATGCTTTGATTACAATGATGGTAAAAATAATTAAAAGTTGATGTTCCTCCCCAGAGTCCTCTCCGTCTTTCTCCATCTCATCCGAGCGACTCGTTGCTTCCTCTATGCTTTTTGGATGCACTTTCTGCTGTCCCCCTTTATGACCAGCTTCCCGTGGTCCAGCCCACCTGCGGATTCACAGTCCACCTCTGAGCTCCATGGTTTTCTGTGGGTTTGCCACTGATTCAATTCCATGACTCAGTGGAAGGGTTAAACACTGGGTTCCCTGTGTGTAACTCTTACCTCCTATCTGCTCTCATTTGTTCTCTGATTTCCACTGGAGGCAGTTTCACCCCAGGGTAGGTGAGTCCTGGGCCTAATGCAGGGCATCCTAAGGGGTTTGTGGGAAGAAGTGGTGTCAAGAGGGAGGCAGGAGAATGAATGACAATTTCTGGGGCCTTTGACTTTCTGCAAACAACCTAGTTTGGAACTTTTTCTGAGGAGTCGCTGCGGTTTGGTGTTGCCACTCATTGTAGAATGCGTCCGACCCTGAGATGTCTGAGATCTTACTCAAAGTGCTGGCTTGCTACAGTCCCATCATTTACATGGCTGCTCTCCCTTGTTGTTTAAGGAAGGCTAAGCCAGACATTTGTCTTGGTTGAAAAATGGGCAAACATAGATTTGTTTCTGGAAAATTCTGTAGCAATTGTTCAGCACCTTCCTGTCCTGGAGACTCTGCAGTGTGTTCCCAGTCTACTTCCACCCACCCCACCCCAGCCTCTTTTGCTTGAATATTCTAAAGGAATCAGAGTTCCTTCTCTTTTCCACATAAAGAAAAGGCTGTTGTCATCTTCACTGCCCTCCATTAGACTCCTAACTTCCATCTCCGTCTTCCGTCTTGCTTCCAGTCAGTAAGCTCTGTTTTGGATGCGGGAGGTTGGTGTGGGAAGGAAGTTTCTTTGTAGTACTGAGTACTGACACCCTGTATTCTCTTTGGCCATCCAGGCTCCAGGCAAAATGGTAGAGCTCAAATTTGACTTCACTCTCTTTTTAACTACTGAGCTTCCATTCAGTTCATGTCAGTAAACATTTACTGTGTGCCTGTTATGTACAGGGATAGTGCTCATCTGTTCACGGGCAGCTACTCAATGTGACTGTCTGGGTCTCAGTTCTCTCATCTGGAAAATGGGGACAACAATAGTTCCAATCTCATTGGGTTCTTGTGAGGATTACACGAGTTAAAGCATCTAAAGTGTTTCAAACAGTGCTTGGTATACAGTAGGCGCTCAGTGAATGCTACCTGCTGTTTTAAAATGGCAGAAACGATGGAATGTTTACTCTGTCTAGGTGCTGTGCAGGGGCAGGGGATACAGAGGTGAATAAGGACGAGGCAGTTTGTAGAAGCTCCTCAAGAAGAGGGCGATCAAGGCCCTTGCCCTCTGTGCTGTGTGATCAGAGCTAATGAGGGAATAGTTAATTCTGGGGGCATGGGGGCCTTGAAGGATGAGGTGGGGTTGGCAGTGTTGATGGTGGCATTTCTGGCAGAGGAAAAGTAAAGGGTTCTTTGTGGTCAGAGCACAGGGCGCTGTGGGGAGGAGTCCTCAGCACCCTGTCTGCATGCTGGGGCTTCCCCAGGCCCTCCTCTGCCGGCTGAAGGGCTCTGAGCGGCTGTGTGCTTCTCCCTCCAACTTATTAGTTCCTGATTTACCTTCATTTGCCTATTGCCTGTTACAATACCCAGCACAGAACAGGAATTTCTTAAATTTTCAGTCTCTACACTCCTGTTCCTCCTGCTTGGCTGTTTCTGTTAGATTTTAGAATACTGTCTCATTTAAATAATTCACAGTAAGTTGTGAATGACTGCTTTATTAAGGGAATATATTTGCATGTTGATAGAAGGTTTTGCTGATACCAAAGAATTTCTTCTGATTACGTGATCAATTTTAGCATCAGTGACGTATGGTGATAAGAAGAATGTATATTCTGTTGTTTTGGGGTGGAGAGTTCTGTGGATATCTATCAGGTCCGCTTGATCCAGAGCTGAGTTCAGGTCCTGAATACTTCTGTTAATTTTCTGTCTTGATGATCTAATATCGTCAGTGGGGTGTTAAAGTCCCCCACTATTATTGTGTGTGAGTCTAAGTCTCTTTGCAGGTCTCAAAGAACTTTGTAGGTCTCTAAGAATTTTATGAATCTGGGTACCACTGCATTGGGCGCATATGTATTTAGAATACTTAGCTCTTCTTGATGAATCGATACCAAAGAATTTCTAATTTAGAACAGTGTGTGGGGAGATAGTTTTGACCTGGGACGTCCTCCTTGCCGCTCCCCAAACTCTTTGTACACATCATCAACTTGCAGTCGAGTCTAGAACAGGTTCAAGCTCATTTGTTCATTCATTCATTCCTTTATTCAGTATGTTTTGAATGCCTCAATATTCTGAGGTAACAGTAATGAACAAAAACAAGGCCTGTTCTCACAGGGATTAGAGAGAATGGGGCTTGTTTTTGTTCGTTACCGTTACCTCAGAATATTGAGCCCAGTGCCGTCCAAACTTGACTGTGCTTACCAGTCACGTGAAGATCTCGTTGAAATGTGGATTCTGATTCAGCAGGTCTGAAATAAGGCTTGAGAGTCTGCATTGTTAACAAGCACTTGAGTAATACTGACGATGCAAGTTTGTGGACCCCATTTTGAGAAATAAGTGGCAATAAGCAAATACCTGTAGGTCGGGTGATGGTAAGCTCTATGGAGCAAAATAAATCAGGGTAGGGGATAGTGCCTTCACACATGAACTTGTCTAGATGGAGTGGTGAGAGGAGGCCTTTCTGAGGAGATGGCCTTGAGTAGACCTGACAGTGAAAATCTGGGGGAAGAATATTCCAGGCTGTGGGAAAAGCAAGTGCAAAGGCCTTGAGCAGAGATTGTGCTTGCGTTGTTTGAGGAAGAGCAGGAATGCCAATGTAGAATTGAATGAGCAAAGGGAGAGTAGTGAGAAATGATGTTGAAGAGAGAGATGGGGCTGGATCCTATAGGACTTACTGGCCATGGTGATGACTGGGTACTTTAGTTGGAGTGAGATGGTCAGCCATTGGAGCATCCAAACAAGAGGTGACATAATCTGACTTAAGTTTTAAAAGAATCACCTTGGTTGTTGTGGAGAGAAAAGTCTGTAAGGTCAAGTATGGAAGCCAGGAGATCAGGAAGGAAGCTGTTATTGAAATCAATCTGCAGATGAAGATGGCTTAGAGAGGGTGGTAGCAGAAGTGGTTAGATTTTGGATGTCTCTTGAAGATAGAGCTAGTAGAATTATCTGGTGGATTAAAAGGGTAGGAGAGAAAGAGAGGAATTGATACGGCTCCAAGGTCTTTGGCTCAAGCAACTGGGAAGATGAAGTTGCCATTAATTGAGACAGCAGTTCAGGTTTGGGGTAAGAAAATAAGAGTTCATTTGGGGGTATGTAAAGCTTGAAATGTTTATTCAAGTGGAGATGTCAGGTTGCCAGTTGAACAAAGTAGTCTGGAATTCTAGGGCGATAACAGGTCCTAAGGCATACATTTTGGAGCCATCAGCATGGAAGCGAATAAGAAACCTAGAAAGTGAGTATGGAGAAGAGAGAGGGAGATCTGAGCAAGGAGCCTGGGATTACTGCAGCATTCAGGGGTTCAGGGTGAAGGGGACCAGCAAGAGATAGAGAAGAAAACAATGAGGCAGTAGGAAGAGAAGAAAGTGTATATGGTGTCCTGGGTGCTAAGAGAAGAAAGCAATCAAGGAGGAGGGCGTGATTGGCTTGGACAGATGCTGCTGAGAGTGGAGTTAGATAGGCACTAGCAATGCACGTTGAGTTTGGAGGTGTGAAGGTGGTTAGTGGCTCTGAGAGTGATGGGGATAAAACTCTAACTGCAGATGGTTCAAGAGAGAAAGGAAAAAGAGGCATTGGAGGCAACACATAAGACAATTCTTATGAAGTTTTTTCTCTAGAGAAAAGCAGAGTCATGGGGGAGGTGGGCCAAGGGAGGGTTAAGATGAGGTCTAATTATATGTGTTCACACTTTCTCATTTTTAAACATGAAAGACATATGACCAGAGTGTTTGATTTGGTGTTTTTCCCCCAAATGTAGATGGCCCAATAAAATATATTTTGACTTTTTACTCTGAGTATGATTAGTACTTCAAAGATTCTTACAAGATGTCCCAAATCTTGCCTCCCATCTCATCCTTCCCATCCCCACAAAGTAAAGAAAATGATCTTGGGGCCAGAGCACAGGGCACTGTAGGGAGGAGTCCCTGGCACCCTCTCCCTGCCCTGGGACTTCCCCTGGCCCTCCTCGGGGGACTGAAGGGCTCTGAGGGGCTGGGATACTGCAGCATTTGGGGGTTCAGGGAGAAGGGGGACAAGCAAGAGACAGAGAAAATAAAATAAGGAGGTAGGAAAAGAAGAAAGTGTATTAAATATTAAAAGTACAGTGTTACTTGTACTTGGAAAAGTACAGTGTTACTGTACTTTTAACACTGGCATAAAATAAGTTAGATATCCCTTTGCTGACCCACATCCTTCCGTCAAACTGACCACCACCATGGAAACTTCAGGATCCTGAAATTCTGATGACGACCAGAGAATCTCTCAGAAGCTTACTTAGCTCAAGTCTCAAATTACTGGAATATGATCTGAGAATATTCAAAATGAATGTGCACACTTCCCTTTTTATTTTCATTAACCTTCAAGCCCATATTGTGGTTTTCTTTCTTTCTTTTTTTTTTTTTAAAGACAAACAAAAACTCCACTCTTCCCCAGACAAAAATGAATAGTTGGAATGACCTTAAAACATTTTCGTTGCTTGACAACATATTAGAGGGGATTTCTAAACACACAGAGGGACACATTATTCTGGGTCACGGGATGGCAGCCATGGATGGTGACTCTCTTTGGGGACTTCAGGACCAAAGGAGCAGTTAGCAATCTGGGTGTTGTAAATGTCAGTTTTAGGAGCTGGCAGGAAGGTGGCAACTGAGTCATATTAATTCAGCAGTGTTTATCAAGCACCCAGCATGTGTCAGGCCCTCCACTAGATGCTGGGGGTATAGTGAGAACAGGCTAGGCCTGGACCCTGCTCTCAGGCAGCCCGTGGTCCAGGACAAGAAACTCTCACTCGGGCAGGTGTGGTGGCAGGTGGGTAAAGTACTTCCATGAATTGGGTCAGGTTGGGGGATGTGGCAGGACAGCAAGTGCCTGCGTTGCTCAAAGAGGCAGCTACTGCTTAGTGGCAGCCTGCATGGGACCGAGGCTCAGGGTGCCATAGTTCTGACTTCTCAAGAAAAGGCAGATCTTTATTTAGAATCTTTTTGTTTTCAAATATCACCAATTAGTTCAGATTTCTAAAATGTCATGCAGTACAAAGAGAACACACTCATCAGCCACCATCTTTTTCTTCTTTTTTTAAAGTCAAGTTTATTAAGGTGTAATTTACATACAGTGAAATTCATCCTTTGTAGGTGTGCTGCATGATGAGTTTTGACAAAAGTGTGCAATCATGCGTCCACCACCACAATCCAGATACAGAACATTTCTGTCACCTCAAAAAGTTCCCTCCTGCCCCTTGCAGTTAATCCACTCCCCCAACACACCCAGTCCCTGGAAACTACCCATGTATTTTCCATCCCTGTAGTTTTGCCTTTCCCAGAAGGTCGTAGAAATGGAATTGTACTGTATATAACATTTTGCATTTGGCTTCTTTCACTTAGCATAATGCTCTTGAAAATCATCTGTGTCATTGCATCGATCACTAATTCTGTTCTTTTTATTGCAGAATAGTATTCCATTGCACCACAGTTTGCTTATGCATTCAGCAGTTGATGGACATGTGGGTTGTTTCCAGTTTATGACATGGAAGTCTTTCTGTGGGCAGTTTTCATTCCTTTTGGGTAAATGCCTAGGGGTGGGATTGCTTGGTCATGTGTTAGGGACGTATTTCATCTTATAAGAAACTGCCAAACTGTTTTTCAAAGTAGCTGTACAGTTTTGCATTCTCATTAGCAATGTATGAGAGTTCTAGTTGTTCCTCTGTATCCTCACTGGCATTTGGTATTGTCAGCTTTGTTTTTCCTTTTAATTTAGATGTCAGCCATTCTAATAGCTGTTTAGTGGTATCTCATTCATTTTAGTTTACATTTCTCTAATCACTAATAATTTTATTGTTGCATATCTTTTCATGTTCTTACTTGCCATCTATATCTCTACTTTGAAGTCTGTTAAGTTATTTTGCCCATTTAAAAATTGGATTGTTTTCTTTTTACTGAGTTTTGAGCTTTTCTTTATATAGTCTGGATACAAGTCTTTTTATCAGATAGGTGTTTTGCAACTGTGTTCTCCCGGTCTGTGGCTTGTCTTTTCATTTTATTAACAGCGTTTTTTTTGTTTTTTGTTTTTTTTTTTTAAAAGGAGAGAAGTTTTAAATTTAGATTAACTCTATCAACTTTTCAATTTAAGATTTGTGCTTTTTGTGTCCTAGCATAGAAATTGCCTAATGTGTGCCAAGGTCACAAATATCTATGATTTCTTCTAGAAGTTTTGTATTTTTATTTTTACTTTTAGGTCTGTGATCCATTTCATGTTTGTGTATGGTGCAAAGTAAGAATCAAGGTTAATTTTTTTATATGGATATTTAATTGTTCTAGCACCACTTATTGAAAAGACTATCCTTGGTCCATTGACTTATCTTGGCACCATATATGTCTGGGTTTATTTCTAGTCTGTTCTATTGTACTTCTCTCCATATGCCAGTACAACACTGTCTTGATTTCTCTAGTTCAGGGTTTCTTAACGTCAGCACTATTAACATTTTGGGTTCAACGGTTCTTTGTTGTGGTTGCCTGTCCTGTGCATTAGAAGTTTAGCAATATTTCTGACTGCCTGGTAGATGTCAGTAACTCCCCTCACTCTTAGTTGTGACAACCAAAAATGTTTCCAGACATTGCTAAATGTCCCCCTAGGGAGTAAAATTGACCGTGATTGAGTTTCACTGCTTTAGTTCTGTAGTAAGTCTTGAAGTCAGATAGTGTGAGTATTCTTTATTCTTTTAAAAAATCTTTTTGGCTATTCTAGGTCTTATGCTTTCTATACAGATTTTAGTATCTTCTTGTTAATTTCTATTTAAAAAGCCTGCTGGATTTTTGGTTGGAATTTCTTTGAATCTAGACCATTTAGAGATCTCTATCTTAACAGTGTTTTTTTTTTTAATCCGTGAACATATCTCTCTCCATTTACTTAGGTATTCTTTCTTTTCTCTCATCAATGTTTTATAGTTTTCCACATACAAATTTGTACATACATTTTTCATGTTTTTCAGTGCTTTGGCATATAGTAATAGAAAAATTTCTTTGTTAGTGTATGGAAATATAATTTTAAAAACCTTATATCATATGACCCTCCTAAACTCATTTTAGTTCTAGTAGCTTTTTATAGAATCTTTGAGATTTTTCTAAATAGGAAATAATGTTATCTGTGAATAAAGACACTTTTCATTCTTTCAAATCTGTAAGGCTTTTATTTATTTTTCTTGCCTTATTGCACTGGCTAGAACTTCTAGTACTTTGCTGAATAGAAATAGGGAGAGTGGACATCCTTGCCTTGATCCTGGCATTGGAGGGAAATATCAGTCTTTCTCTAGAGTATGATGTTGGCTATAGTTTTGATTTTGTTTCACAGAGGCCCTTTATCAGGCTGAGGAAATTCCCTTCTCTAGCAAATTTGCTGTGAATTTTTATCATGACTGGTTATCAGATTTTGGCAAATGCTTTCTCTTTGTCTATTGAGATGATCACAGGGTTTATCTTTAGTTTGTAAAAAGACAACTTTTTACAAACTAAAGAAATTCCTGGCCAGATGTGGTGGCTCATGCCTGTAATCCCAGCACTTTGGGAGGCCAAGGCAGGAGGATCACCTAATGTCAGAAGTTCGAAACCAGCCTGGCCAACATGGTGAAACCCTGTCTCTACTAAAAACACAAAAAAATTAGCTGGGTATGGTGGTGGGTGCCTGTAATCCCAGCCACTCAGGAGGCTGAGGCAGGAGAATCGCTTGCACCTGGGAGGCAGAGGTTGCAGTGAGCTGAGATCATGCCACTGCACTCCAGCCTGGGTGACAAGAGCAAGACTCCATCTCAAAAGAAATTTCTAACAACGGCCAGGCCATTGTTAGGAATTTTTAGTTTCATGTTCATGAGGGGTATTGGTCTGTAGTTTTGTTTTGCTAAAAGGTGTCTGGTTTTGTTAGAAGGGTAGTGCTGGTCTATAAAATAATAGGGGCCAGATGCGGTGGCTCAATCCTGTAATCCCAACACTTTGGGAGCCCAAGGAGGGTGGATCACTTGAGGTCAGGAGTTCGAGACCATCCTGGTTAATGTGATGAAACCCCGTCTCTACTAAAAATACAAAAATTAGCCAGGTATGGTGGTGCACACCTATAGTCCCAGCTACTTGGGAGGCTGAAGCATGAGAATTGTTGGAACCCAGGAGGTGGAGGTTGCAGTGAGTCGGGATTGTGCCACTGCACTCCAGCCTGGGTGACATAGCAAGACTCTGTCTCAAAAATAAAAGATAAATAAAATAAAATAAAATGAGAGAGAAGTATTCCCACTTCTGCTTTATGGACGTGTTTGTGCAGAACAATTTCTCTTTTAAGGCCCGTGAGCTTACAGATGATATTGAAGATCCCTCAAGGATTTCTTTAGTAAAATAAAAAGTATCAGGTACCTCTAGTTCATTTTCTCATTCTCTCTCTCTTTATTTTATTTTATTTTTTTGAGATGGAGTCTGATTCTGTTGTCCAGGCTGGAGTGCAGTGGCACAGTCTCGGCTCACTGCAATCTCCACGTCCCAGGTTCAAGCAATTCTCCTGCCTCAGCCTCCCAAGTAGCTGGGACTACAGGCACGCACCACTGCACCTGGCTAATTTTTGTATTTTTAGTAGAGATGGGGTTTCACCATGTTGGCCAGTCTGGTCTCGAACTCCTAACCTCAAGTAATCTGCCAGTCTCGGCCTCCCAAAGTGCTGGGATTATAGGCATGAACTATCATTCCTGGCCCATTTTCTCATTCTGAAAGCTACCAGCAGACACTACTTTGGTTTAAGGTCTAGGGAAAACAGCCTGGGTGAGGGAAAATTGCATTGGTTGCATTCAGGAGACTGAGGTCACCCCTGGCTGTTACCAAATCATTTCACTTTTCAGGGCTTTCGTTTTCTCATCTGTGGATAACAGCCTCAAGATCTTCCCTTCTTCCCCCATCCCCCGTCTGTGTCTTTACAAGCCATAAGCAGATGTTTTGGTGGAGTTCTACCATCTGCATTTCCTGCTTCTTCCTACATTAGCAGCCAAGCCCAGCCAACGATTTTCATTCTGAAAAGGGAAGAGTTTTCCCACAGTTTGCTGTCATAGTTCCAGTGTGAGGCCCAGATAAATATAGGCCTATCTTCAATCTTCATTGGATTTTAAAAAATTATGAAAGTAATATATATTTTATTAAATTCAAGCAATACTCAGGTAGATGCAGTAAAATGCAAAAGGCCCTCTTTGCCTTGTGTATTAGTCCACTCTCACGCTACTATAAAGAACTGCCCGAGACTGAGTAATTTAGAAAGGGAAGAAGTTTAGTTGACTCACAGTTCCGCATGGCTGGGGAGGCCTCAGGAAAGTTACAATCATGGCAGAAGGGGAAACAAACACATTCTTCTTCATATGATGGCAGGAAAGAGAAGTGCCGAGTGAAGTGGGGAGAATAAAACCATCAGATCTTGTGAGAACTCACTATCAGAAGAATAGCGTAGGGGTAACTGCCCCCATGATTCAGTTACCTCCTACTGAGTCCCTTCCACAATGCATGGGGATTATGGGAACTACAATTCAAGGTGTGATTTGGGTGGAGACACAGCCAAACCATATCACCTTGCTATTCTCTAGAGTCATGCTGTCAGTCAAGTGTGATGGATCCTTCCAGACCTCTTCATACAAATATTTATATCCATAGACGTAGCCTCAACTTAATTTTTTTTTAAGATATAAAAGGTATAATATTCAGCAACTTGCTTTTCCCGTTAACACTATATCATGACCCTCTTTCCATGCTAACTAAATTGTGTCATGAGAGAACTTGAACTTCTGTTAGAAACAGGGAAAGACCTTTTATTATAAAAGAGAATAAATAGCTTTAACAACACAGGTCAGATTCAAACCTAGAGTTAAAATATCTCCTTAGACGGTTCTGCCCATTTTCCTTTACTCCCTGGCTTCCTTCTCTAGACGATACTTCTGCAGACATTTAAGAAAAATCATGGGCCCTTTTAAACACCACATAGAATGGGGATAAATTCATGTTATAACCAATCCTAGATATAAATAAGGCCAAGTAGCTTCCTCAACATAGGCCAAGGTCGCTGCTGCACCTGCCTCCTGTTCACTCAGACGTGGCTTTGCCCAAGTGTCCTAACCACAAGAGGTGAATTCGATTTAGATTGAGATTTATATATGTTAAATCTATTCTTAGCTAGAAATAAAATCTCCTGACGTCAGACACACAAAATGGTTTTGGTATTTATGCAGTTCAAGTAAATGGGGAAGCCTAGAATACTTCTAACTTCAGTCTTTCCACATGAAATATGGAATGAAGTATCTAGAATGAAACTGGGACTCCCAGACCTGTCTGCCTACCTCTGTCCCTAGTAATGAATGCCGTTCCCCTGTCACTTGCCTTTTTATTTACCAGGTGTCAACAGCAAACCCAAGAAGGCTGAAGAAAAATGGGAAGTGTGAGAAGAAAATGTGTTGAAATTGACAGTGTGGCTTATAAGTTCTTGTTGAAAAGGGATGAATAAAAATATCTCTAGATTTGTATCCTTCATTGTCCGTTAAGAAGTCTTTGTTTTGAAAAGAATGGGAGGATCAGTCTTTGGAGCATTATTTTGAACATAATTAAGCTGGGTGAAAGTGTATTAAAAAATCAGCATCCTAGAACTGTCTTTGGCAGTTTCCTGTTATTATCTTATTAATACTGGAGATGAACGTATGAATCAAGCTGGTGAACCCTACGGAAACTGAACCTTTTTTTCCAGTTGGATGGGGAATATTTCTCTAGTCTCTAGTCCAGCAATAAACACATTTTAAACAAGTGTTTTCCATTCTTGTGACCAATGTAATATCTTTTCTTTTCCCTGCAGAGACAACAGTCTCCAGAGTTTGGTACAACAGTTCACGGTTGTCGAAGCTTTCAGTTTCTTTTCCTATTTGAATCTCACACTACTCTAAGAGAGGGTTGAGAAAGTGATTTGCTAAAGGTCACACATTGGTCCAGGGATTTGCACATTATTCTGTGATTCAGGGGACAGATCACCTAGCTACACAACTAAAACTAGCTCCAGTATGGGGCCTCAGGCCATGGGGGAATCCCAGGTGACATATTCGTAATAGGAATGAAATATAACCAGGCCACGTGGATGCTATAATTAATTGATAGAAATAACAGCTAATACTTTTGAGCATTTACTGTTTGTATCAGTTCATTTGATTCTCATACCAACCCTATGAAGTAGGTTCTGCAATTATCCCCATGTTTCAGAAGAGAGAACTGAGGCACAGAATAACTTAACAGTAACTGGTTCAGTGTCTCCCAGTTAACTGGCAGAGTAGAGATTGGAACCCAGGCAGTTCGATTCCAGAGCCCACACTCTGCTTCATGATATTGCCCTCCAGGATATTAAGAGGCTAAGGTTACTGGCTGTGCATCTCCTGGGCCCAGTGCCTCTTCTTCCTATGGCCCAGTTCATCCTTCTGCCTCTTTCTGGAGACTGGCTTTTTCTGCTTCCCCATAGCTTCTTGGTTCCCCTGACAATAAACCTTGCACGGGGCTTTTCACTTGCTGTGGTGCTCACTGCAGCCAGAGTGGGCAAGCCTCTTTAGTTTAAACGCCCACCATCAAGACTCTGCCCCAGTTCCACATTCCCATGAGGGAGAATCAAGCTGCTGCAATCTGGCCAATGGAATTAGGGAAACTACCTCTCATCCATTCAGCAGAGGCCAGAGGAGAAGGGGCACATGGTATAAAAATGCCTTCTTAGCCTGATCCCCCTTTCACCATGGCCTTGGTAGAGGTCAGTTTTAAATGTCAGTTTGGAGGGCAAACTTCTGAACATTTGTCTCCTCCTTCGTAGCAGTAAAAGACAACTTCACATGTTGGTAAGCTTGTTCTATGGAAGATAACAATGACAGGTGGCCTGCTTGATAGTGTTGGCCAATTTTCCTTGTATAAATACTCCCACCATGGCTGATTTCAAGCTACTAACATGATAATGGAGTTGGGAAGTGATGCCTCAACTGGCTCAGCTCTGATGTGACCTGGCCCTGGCACACCAATGCTCCTATCCATATATGGGCTAGAGGAAGGGAAGCTTCCACAGTAGGTGCACGATGTCTCCAAGGACTTTGAAACCTAGGCTTCACAGGCCAGTCAACTAGTTGCATTTGTAATTATGTAAAAGGGAATAAGATTTCAAGGTAGAGAGGATGGGAGTCAGATTTGCTGCGTGGTCTAAAACAGCTTCAAATACTGTGTATAGTCCCAATGGTACAACCTAGTAGGCACTCAGCGATGCTTTATAAAAAATTGCAATTTCCTTTGATTATGGTGTCTCACTTGTGACATATAATTAACCCTTTCACTGAATTTAAGACGTCAGACCTAATTTTCTTGAATGAGCATTGGTTTGGTTTTCTGGCACGGAAAGGTGAAATTTTTCTTTGCTTCCAGATGTCAGCAGCTCCTCCTCCTTTGCTGTCATCATGTCATCATGTTTCAAACCTAGGGATGCGGAGTCCACGTGGTACCCTAGTAGATGTCTTTTAGTTGGATACACATTATTAGTCTCAATTGGAGGCTTTTATTTATGATCATAAGGCCATCTCTCAGTTCATGTAATTATGCTAAAAGCCAAGACAGTCATGTGACTGCCACTTCCGACGGCGTGTCTGGTGCTTTAACAGATCTCAAGGCCTGTCTGATTGGCTCTTTTCATTTGCACATCTGAGAAGGAGACTGGGAGTCTTGGCTTCAGTGTGCTGCTTAAGATGCTGCCGACATTCCCCATCTTTCCTCCTGATGTGATGATGTTGCTAACCTTGGCCAGCTCTCACAACGGGTCGTGTTGGTCACTGGGAGATGCAGGGAGGAAGTGTCAACAGTGTGGATCTCTCACCCTCCTTAGACATGGAACTCCCAGTGTCCTACTGATGGAAGGTCAGTGTCTTTACCTATAAAAATAGCACAATTAATTTATTCTTTTAATTTCCCATGGGGCATAGCAAGAGAAAAATTTTTACAAGATTCTTCTTTCACATTTTATTGAAGATTTGTCCTAGTTTGTGAATATGTAGACTTCTGAATAAGAAGACTAACATTTATGAGACAGCTATTATTGTGTTAGTCACTGGATCAAGGGTTTAATCTTATTGAGTCCCCATGACGATGACACTGTCAGATAGTTCTTGCCCATTTTGCTTGGAGGAAGTTGAGATTGAGAGAACATGTAAAAACCAACTGGCCTAAGGGCACATTGCTTGTAAGTAGTGGAGCTGGGATTTGAAACTAGATCTGATTACAATGTAAATATATTATCAGTTATACAGTGCAGTCCTTCCCTGCCCACCCAACATTTTATGAAGTTGTCAAACACACGGAAAAGTAGAAAGAACAATATAGTAAACACCCCTATATCTACCATCTAAATGGTGCAATTAACATTTTGCTTTATCATATATCTGTCTGTCCCACTATCCATCAATTCATCTTATTTTTGATGTATTCAGAGTAAGTTGCAGACATCAGTACATGTCACCCCTAAATACTTTCGCATACATGTCATTGATTAGGGTTCAGTATTTGTTTATGACTCTTTTTCTGAGGTAAATTTTACATACAATGAAATACAAAACTCTTGAGTACATTTTCTTGAGTTTTTACAAATGTATACACCTGTGTATCCCAAATCCCTGTCAAGATATAGCATGTGACCATGACCCCAAAAAGTAAGTTTTCTTTTGCCCTTCTGCAGACATTCCCATCTCTTCTCACTCGCCCCACCCAATCCAAGCAACCATGGTTTGATTTTGTTTTTCACCATAGTTTAGTTTTTATATCACGCAGTTAAAAAACAACCAGATTGCCAGTTTTCTTTGTTCTGCAGCAAAAGATAAAAGTGAGTATCTATCCTGCGTGTCTTGAACTCCCGGGCTCAAGTGATCTGCCTGTCTCAGCTTCCCAAAGTGCTGGGATTACAGGTGTGAGCCACTGGGCCTAGCTGCTGATTGCATTTCTGAACACTTTCATAATTCTGACAATTTTCTGTCTTTGCTGCCTTATTTCAGACCCTCCCTCCTTTTGGTCCACGTTCTTACCAAAGCTGCATCTCCTAATTGTCCCCTGTCTCTAGTCTTGTCCCCCTTTAAACCAGCCTCGTCCTCCAGCCAGAGATTCTTATAAAATATAAATCGGCCCAAACCTTTTGTCGGCTCTTCATAACTCAGTTTGACTTCATTGCTTAGCAATCTGGGTCCTTTATGAATGAACCACCTCCAACTCACACCTGCCGCTATAGCGAGGCTTGCAGTTTCCCCAGAGCCCTTTGCGCCCTTTACATTTTATTCTTTCTGCCTGGGAAGCCCTTCCCAGCCTTGTCTGCATGATTACCATCTACACTTCTTCAAGACTCAACTCAGGTGTTAGGCCTGCAGGCAGCCTTCCCTGGCATGCACTCTGCCCTCTGCCTTA